>NC_000012.12:111854067-112005582 GCF_000001405.40 Homo sapiens | reverse complement strand
GCTAGTTTCCCTTTTTCATTTAGTCATTTTTCAATCCACATCTCTATTTTTTAAAAAATCATACTATTTCCCAGTGAAATAGAAATAAGAGAGGAAAAAAGGAGCACCTTGTCTTTCCAGGGGCCTGTTCAGCCTTTTAACTCATTCTCAGGCTTATAGTATGTTTTGAGATTAGGCTTTGAAGAAAAATTCATGCTGTACAGATAGTTAATAATGAACTTAGGTTGAATATTCAATGTAAAAGGTTTAATTTTATTCCGTTTTCCTTGTTTTGCTTAGGTTCTTCCTGCAATACAGTGGATACAATTTGTCATGGCTACTCTGAGGTATGTTTATTTAATCTCATATAACTAAACTAGTATAAGCAAAGTTCGTCAATTCTGTAGTTTTCCACATTTCCCCCTTGGGGATTTGCTTTTACTCTTTAGTTAAAGAGAAATGATATTCTTTATCATCTTGATATTTTCTTACTAATAAAGTGACAACATTAACAACAATAACAACAAAAAATTGATTAAAGGATAACATCTGAACATCAGTGGACAACCTGGTCAGCAGGATCAGTTGCAAAATCAATAGCAAAGTGCTTACTTAAGCAGCACCTATACTAAAAATTGGAATGACAAAGAGAAAATTGGCAGGGCTGAGCTCATACCTGTAATCCCAACACTTTGGGAGGCTGAGGTGGGCAGATCGCTTGAGCTCAGGAGTTTGAGACCATCCTGGGCAACATGGTGAAACCCTGTCCCTACAAAAAAGCAAAATAAAACAAAACAAAACAAACAAAAAAACCCCATAAAAATAGCTGGACATGGTGGTATGTGTCTGTAGTTCCAGCTACTCAGGAGGAGCTGTGATTGTGCCACTGCATTCCAGCCTGGTTGACAGAGCAAGACCCTATCTCAAAAAAAATTAAAAAAAAAAAAGATTGGCATGGCCTCTGGATAAGGAGAATGTGCAAATTTGTGAAGCATTCTATATTTGTTTAAAAATATTGGCTGGATATGGTGGCCCATGCCTGTAATCCCAGCATTTTGGGAGGCCAAGGCAGGAGGATGGCCTGAGCCCAGGAGTTTGAGACCAGCCTGGGCAACATAGCGAGACCCTGTCTCTACAAAAAATTTTAAAACATTAGCTGGGCATGGTAGCAGATGCCCGTAGTTCCAGCTACTCAGGAGGCTAAGGTGGGAGGATCACTTTAGCCCAGGAGTTGGAGGCTGCAGTGAGCTATGATTGTACGACTGTACTCTAGCCTGGGTGACAGAAGGAGACCCTGCCTCTAAAAAAAAAAAAATATGTGCAGGGCTGGGCATGGTGGCTCACACCTGTAATCTCAGTGCTTGAAAGGCCAAAGTGGGAAGATCACATGAGGCCAGGAGTTTGAGACTAGCCTGGGCAACATAGCAAGACCCTATCACTACAAAAAATAAAATAATTAGCCAGTTGTGGTGATTCACACCTATAGTCCTAGCTACTCAGGAGGCTGAGACAGGAGGATCACCAGGGCCCAGGAGTTCAAGGTTACGTTGAGCTATAATGACACCACTGCACTCCAGCCTGGCTGACATAGCAAGACCCTGTGTCTAAAAATTTTTTTAATGCAGTTTATTTTATATCAATTATGCCAATAAAACTGTAAAAAAAACCCAAAATTAATAACAAAAACGATGGCACTCCATTGTCCTGCTTTAATGATCAATCATCTTCTAAATTTCTCAGTGTTATAGGTTCAAGTTCACTTATTGCCTATGCTGTATTCCATAATATACAGAAATCTCCAGAGGTGAGTGATTTCTCTTTGTGTTGGATTTGAACTTTTTATTGACCTAGTCTCTGAAACAAATAACAGATGTTACCTGTAAGTGGTGAAATAATTCTATGAATTACTTTTAAATTTGTCATGATGATACAATGAGATATTTTTGGCATGGTCAGTAGGGCTCCCTTTTCTTCTAGGTAATTATTTTAGCTATAACTTTGAATTCTGAGAGATTAACTATTTTTTTTTTTTTTTTGAGACGGAGTCTTGCTCTGTCACCCAGGCTGGAGTGCAGTGGTGCGATCTCGGCTCACTGCAAGCTCCACCTCCCGAGTTCACGCCATTCTCCTGCCTCAGCCTCCCGAGTAGCTGGGACTACAGGCACCCGCCACCACGTCCGGCTAATTTTTTGTATTTTTGGTAGAGACAGGGTTTCACCGTGTTAGCCAGGATGGTCTCGATCTCCTGATCTCATGATCCGCCTGCCTTGGCCTCCCAAAGTGCTGGGATTACAGGCGTGAGCCACCGCGCCCAGCCCTGAGATTAACTATTAAATGTGGATTTCTTTGGTATGCATTAATTGCTAAGGCTAAGGAAACAGAATGTTGTCTGAATCCAATATTCACTCTAAGCATAGCAGGAGCTTGCCTAGAGGTGAGTTCTCTGATTTTGATACTTTAGTAAAATTGCTACTGGGACTAGGAGATAGTTTAAAAACTTTGCTATATGAAACATACTTATTTTGCTTCTCTGGCCTTCTAGGCAATTGCAATTTTATGGTGAAAACAGAGTAAAAATACATTTAAACTATTCATACCAAAAAGATCAAATTAAAAACCTTCCTGATTAACAGAGTACTAGGGAGAGTGATGTATTTTCTAGCTTAGTAAACAGATCTTAAGAGAAATATAACAACTATTCTTTAACCAGACCAAATAGCACAAAATTAGACAAAGCATAGGTCAGGACATGTATGGGAGAGCTTTTATATGTGGAAAATGCCATTGGGTTTTATTGGGCCCACTTTAATAATAAAAATAACTTCTGTATGTTGAACACTTACTATTTTCCAACTATGCTGAGTGCTTTACATACTTTATCTCATTGGTCCTCATCAATCTATAAGAGGGATAGTATTAGGCCCATTTCACAAAAGAGGAAATTGTGGTTCAAAGTCAGGAAATAATTTGTTCAAGTTACACAGTAAATAGAAGAGCAGGGGTTTTTTGCTTTTTTCTTTTTTTCTTTTTTTTTTTTTTGAGATGGAGTCTCACTGTGTCGCCGAGGCTGGAGTGCAGTGGCACGATCTTGGCTCACTACAATGTCTGCCGCCCAGGTTCAAGTGATTCTCCTGCCTCAGCCTCCCAAGTAGCTGGGATTACAGGTAACTGCCACCGCATCCAGCTAATTTTTTTTTTTTTTTTTTTTTTGAGACAGAGTTTCGCTCTTGTTGCCCAGGCTGGAGTGTGATGGTGCAATCTCGGCTCACTGCAACCTTTGCCTCCTGGGTTCAAGCAATTCTCCTGCCTCAGCCAGGGTTTCACCATCTTGGCCTGGTTGATCTTGAACTCCTGATCTCCTGATCCACCTGCCTGGACCTCCCAAAGTGCTGGGATTATAGGTGTGAGCCACCATGCCTGGCCAAGAGCAAGGATTTTTAAAAGTCAATACTCTTAATTATAATTGCTCTCCAAACTAAACAAAATTTTTAGTATTTATTCTAGATAGATTTGCTCAGTGCTTTCAGTGTATTTTTCATTTAATCCTTAAAAAACTTTGAGATGGATATTATTAGTCTGATATTGCAGACAAGGAAACTGAATCCTGGTAAGGTTAGGGGACTTTCCTAAGTTCTTACAGCTAGTAAGTGTTGGAGCTGGAATTTGAATGCAGCCTTGTCTTGTTCCAGAGCCTCTCCACCATACACTTTTAAACCACCAAAATATAATGTCCAATGAAAATGGATTTTGAAGTTTCAGTGGTAGATTGTGACTGTGTAAGTCAAACTGGAAAGTAAAAGTCTTGCTACTGTATTGTCATTGCCTGCCAAAGTAATTTTAAGTCAAACATCTTGTGATTCAGATTTTCCTAATGTTTATTTCCTTTGCTGGAATTTGAGTTCAGATGTGATTAAGTTAATAAAGTATGACTTACACACAGAGAGAGCTAAGCTTTATCTCTGAAAGCAGGGTTTCTCAACCTCAGCTTTATTGAGATTTGGGGCTAGATAATTATTTGTAGTCCTGTACATTAGGACGTTTGGCAGCCTTTACCAGCTGGATACTAGTAGTAAACCCTCTGTTCTTTAGTTGTGACAACCAAAAATTTCTTCAAACAATGCCAAATGGTCCAGGTGTAGTGGCAGGTGCCTATAGTTCTAGCTACCCAGGAGGCTGAGGTGGGGATTGCTTGAGCACAGGAGTTCAAGGCTGCAGTGAGCTATGATCATATCACTGCACTCCAGCCTGGGTGACAGAACAGGACCCCATCTCTTAAAAATAAAAAAATTGCTGAATGTCCCTGTGAGGGTGGGATTGGGGCAAAATTGTTCTTGTTTGAAAACTACTGTCCAAGGTGACTTTCTGGCATAACAGTGGGTTGGGACTTTATAAAGATATAAGGTGTTAAGGTCTAATTTGGCTTAGGACGTGACTCTTTTTTCTTACTATTTATAATTAAAACAAAATAGAGATGCTCTTGAGTAGGGAGAGCTCTTGGTTATTCTGCCCGTGGTTTAAATTAAAGACAGATAGAGAGGAAAGCACCAGCCGTGGTGGCGCCAAGTCCCTTGTGGCAGCAGAGAGGAATCAGTTGGACCTCACGGGAGCTTGGATGGTCATGGCCTTTACCTTGTACTGACTGCTGCAGGCAGCCCTGCTCTGTGTCAGTGCCATCGCCATGCTGCACAAAGAGAAATTCCTCAAGAACATTGGCTGGAGAATAGACCAGAGAATTGGTGGATTCGGGGAGGAGCCAGGAATTAAATCTCAGCTAATGAACCGTATTCAATCTGTAACAACTGTGATGAGAATGCCATTGATAATAGTAAACTCAATTGCAATTGTGTTACTTTTATTATTTGGATGAATATCAGGAGAGGAAATGGAGACTCAGAAGAGATGCTAGCAGAAGTTATTATTTAGGTCATTATTGGAATAAAGGCTGAGATGGGAGGATCACTTGAGCCTGGGAGGCTCAGGAAGTAAGTAAGTAAGACTGCAGTAAGCCAAGATCGGGCCACTGCACTCCAGCCTGTGTGACAAAGTGAGACCCTATTTCAAAAAAAAAAAAAAGAAAAAAAAATCAGATCATGAGAGGCAGTAACTCTCCAGGACTGGAATATTTGCTTACTGTTAATAGTAGCTCGCTCTGTGCTGAGATTGTTAAAAGAGTGCATAAGACTGTTGTTTCTGTTTTTAAAGTTATTTTTCTATCTCTCATTTCTGAGGGATGAATTTTTTTAAAAAGTTTTGAAGTTCTTTGGGACTTAGCCATGATGTGAATGCTTATCTCTAGATAAAATTTAAAGGATTTTAAAAAAGTAATTGCTACACATAAAATGATAAATAGGTAATTTGAGTGATTTTATTTTGAACTCCTTGGTTAATTATTTTGTTTGTATATTGTTTCATCTATGAATAATTCAAATTTATAGACACTATTGAGGAGTAATACTCTCTGATATATCAAGGAGAATTGTGTTAGTCACATGATGATTTTGTTTTACTTTTTTAATGCATTTATTATTTTATTAATTGGACTAAATGATGAGACCAGACCAGTGTCTACATATTTTCATTGTTAGAAAAATCTACAAAAGTCTACCCTTTCTACAGTGATGACTTTAAACAAAAAAAAGCAGCATAAATATTAGCCTGCAAGAGCAGTCCTAAACAGTCACAATTAAACTATACTACACAAGAAGACTGTTGTGAAGCATTTACCTCCCCCAAAATCTTTACAGTTCCATTTCTTGGTGAAGTGGCACACTGTGGGTTGTGATTCTTAATTCTTCATTGTGTTTGTCAATAGGACATTCATGCTGGATAGGTTGTCTTTTATTTATTTTTTTATGTCTCAAATCATCTTGTGGGATTGTTTGCTCATCTCATAGTACAGTTTTAAACAGAAAGTTTGAAACAATGTAAATGGTTTTTGTGAAAATTATTAGTTACTATATACATGTGTATATATATGTATATATAATTTATTTTATTTTTTTTTTGAGATGGAGTCTCGCTCTGTAGCCCAAGCTGGAGTGCAGTGGTGCAGTCTCAGCTCACTGCAACCTCTGTCACCAGGGTCTCGGTTCAAGCAATTCTGGCTCAGCCTCCCGAGTAGCTGGGATTACAGGCATGCGCCAGCATGCCCAGCTAATTTTTGTATTTTTAGTAGAAATGGGGTTTCACCATGTTGGTCAAGCTGGTGTTGAACTCCTGACCTCGTGATCCACCCGCCTTGGCCTCCCAAAGTGCTGGGATTACAGGCGTGAGTCACCGCGCCCGGCCAAGTTACAATATTTTTAAAGAGCTAGAATGGCCTCTTTGTAAATAGAAGAACATTTGTAAATAAAGTTGAATTTCTAAGTAAAAAAAAAGGACAAATACAAATGTATATATATGTGGGTTTTTTTTTAAGAGTTTTTGCTTTCATGTTTAGGATCATATCTTATGCTTTTTTGGGTTTTCTTTATTACCAGGCACTAGGCTGGTTGTATTTTTCTTAAGAGCATGACCTATATTATACATTTCTTTGTATTTCCTTCAAAATAATGCCTTGTTATACATAGGAGGGGTAGAATTTTTCTTGATTTCAATAATAGGTACTCAGTTAATTTTTGTTGTATAATTGATTGAACTTTATCTCCTGTTATTAGAATTGAGTGCAAGCAAACCTCACCTCGTTTTGTCCTCCTTTGCCCTGCCAAAGACTTCTGATATGTTTTAACATCTCCCTATACATAGGGTCCTTTCCTTTCCTTTCCCCCTTTCCCCCTTTGCCTTTCCTGAGAGTCTCGCTTTGTCATTCAGGCTGGAGTGCAGTGGTGTGATCTCAGCTCACTGCAACCTCCATCTCCTGGATTCAAGTGATTCTTCTGCCTCAGCCTCCCAAGTAGCTGGGACTACAGGCATATGCCACCATGCCTGGCTAATTTTTTTGTATTTTTAGTAGAGACAGGGTTTCACCATATTGGTCAGGCTGGTCTCAAACTCCTGACCTCAGGTGATCTGCTCGCCTCGGCCTCCCAAAGTGCTGGGGATTACAGGCATGAGCCACTGCGCCCAGCCTCATAGGGCTATTTCTTGAATTAATGATCAGAATGTTATTGCTCACAAAAGCTGCATGGCTGCTTTTCTTCTCCAGGGATTATTTATGTGAAAGTTGATTATACATATTGGATCATTCTTGTCATACCCAACTAAATTGGAGTCGAGAAGCCAAGGGGAACAAGCTCTCAGAGCACATAGCACCTGCTCCAATAATTAATATTTTCACAAGCCCAGCTACTAAAATAGTCCAATGTAACCCTGAGACCAGTTTGATCTTGTAGTTGCCAAAATGACTTGCCCTGTCTCTTAGGACTAGTTTTACATACCACGGTCACTCACTAATCAGAGTTTGCCGACTCCCAAAACTTTCTTTGGTGCCAGTGAGCTTGCTTTCAAAACAACATGTACTATTTCCCTTCTAATAAAACTCCCAGTCATCTCTTTGTTCTTCAGACATGTCCAAGACCACGCAGTCTGTGTGTATGCCCTGAAATGCAATTCTTGCTTCCCAAATAAAACATTTTAAATTTAGAGATTTTTCTTTATATATTTCTTGACTTCACCATTTCACATTTTTAAATCTCTTAACAGTTATAAACTTATGATAGGTCATAAGCCAGTAGAATCTATGACTGTGCCATCCAACTGGAATTTTAGCAAGCTTACCCAGAGAAAAGGCCATATGTGGTTAACATAATAGCTGATATTTATTAAATACTTTATACTTTTAAATGTTTTATTACATATTATTTCACTTTTTTATGTTTCTGTTAGCCAAGGCAACTTGACCATCTAACCCTATTAACAAGATATTAATTAGCATCTTACCTCTTTTTCTGGTTTGGGAGAAATATATGAGAAAAATCCTCTTGTATAGGTGGGCTTGGGAGAAAGAGATGAGAAAAATTCTGTTTTGTACATGTGGGGAGATTAGTTCTCATATTAGGTAATATCTGTTCTGTTTGTTTTTTTTGTTTGTTTGTTTTTGTTTTTTTTTAGATAACAGGATTTTGCTGTGCCACTCAGGCCATAGTACAGGATCATAGCCTACTGTAGCCTCAAACTGCTAGGCCCAAGCAATCCTGCCACCTCAGCTTCCTGAATAGCTGGGACTACAGGTGCACGCCACTATAGCCAGCTATTTTTTTTAATTTTTAATTTTGTAGAGACAGGGGTCTTGTTATGTTGCCAAGGCTGGCCTGGAACTCCTGGCTTCATTCAGTCTTCCCGCCTCAGCCTCACAAAGTGCTGGCATTACAGGCTTGAGCCACAGTGCTTGGCCAGGACTTTAAAATTTGTAAATGTATTTTTTTATTGTGAGATATACCAGACATGAACTAGAATGCATGAAACATGTATGTACTATTTAAAGAATGATTATAAACAAACACTAGTGACAAGAAATGGAACATTACCTGTACTTCCAGACATATACCTATTGAGGTTCTTCCCAATCACAGCTCTCCCTCTCACCTCTAGAGATAATCAGTATCCAGATTTTTGTGATAAGCATTTTTTTACTCTTATGTACGGTTTACCAGAAATGTATGTATGTTTAAACAATTTGGTTTTGCTTGTTTTTGAACTTGATATAATTGGAATAATGCTATATGTATTTTTGTACGTATTGTTTTATGAATTGCTTTTATCCCTCAATATTATTTGTGAGATGTATCCACGTTGTATAGAGCATGAGTTCATTTCATTTTCATTGATGTCTGGTATTCTGTAGTATGAATATACTAAAATTTATTTACCTGCTTATGCTGCTATAAGCATTCTTGTACATGTTTTCTTGTACATAAGCATTATTGTATAAGCATTCTTGTACATTATGCTGCTATAAGCATTCTTGTACATGTTTTCTGGTGCGCAAATGCATAAGCTTATCTAGTATATTTGCCCAATATCAGAATTGTCATAGGATTTCCACTGCCCCTAAATTAATGTCAAACTCTTTTCCAACTGGTTGTGCCAGCAGTGTATAAAGTGTCCTGTTGCTTTTTGTTCCCGTTAATACTTGCTGTTATCAGACTTAAAATTTTTGCCATGGGTGTGTAATTATTTTCTTATTGTGGTTTTAATTTTTCATTTCCTTTATTACTAATAAAGTAGGGCATATTTGCATATGTTTATGGCCATTTGGATTTCCTCTTTTGTTAAATATTTTTGCCTGTTTTTCTGTTGAGTTTTTCTTACTACTTAGTAATTTTTTTAAAACACAGTTTGGATCCTTTGTCAGTTATATGTGTTACAAATATCTTCTATTTTGTGGTATGTCTTTTTACTTTCTTTATGGTGTCTTGACACAGACTCAATTTTTCATTTTAATGTGGTTGATTTTTTTCATTATTTCTTTTAGTACTTTTTGTGTTTTGTTTAGGAAAATTTTCCCTAAACAAAAATTGAAGACATTCTCCTATAGAATGTAAAAAAAAGGTTTACAGTTTTTGTCCTTTCACATTTAGGTCTTTAAACTACTTGGAATAGATTTTTTTTTTTTTTTTTTTTTTTGAGACAGGGTCTTGTTCTGTTTCCCTGGCTGAAGTGCAGTGATGCAATCATGGCTCACTGCAGCCTTGACCTCCTGGGCTCAAGTGATCCTCCTGCCTCAGACTCCCAAGTAGCTGAGACCACAAGTGTGTGTCACCATGCCCAGCTAATTTTTTTATTTTTTATTTTATTTGTAGAGATGGAGTCTCACCATGTTTCCCAGTCTGGTCTTGAACTCCTGGGCTCAAGCAGTCCTCCTGCCTCGGCCTCCCAAAATGTTAGGATTATAGTCATATAGTCACTGAGCCTGACCTAGAACTGATTAGATGGAGTCTCACTCTGTCGCTCAGGCTGGAGTGCAGTGGCATGATCTCGGCTCACTGCAACCTCCGCCTCCTGGGTTCAAATGATTCTCCTGCCTCAGCCTCCTGAGTAGCTGGAATTACAGGCGCCCGCCACCATGCCCAGCTAATTTTTGTATTTTTAGTAGAGATGGGGTTTCACTATGTTGGCCAGGCTGGTTTTGAGCTCCTGACCTCAGGTGATCTGCCCACCTCCCAAAGTGCAGAGATTACAGACGTGAGCCACCATGCCCGTCCTAGAACTGATTTTTTGAGTGTAGTGTGAGATACAAAGTAGGGGCCTAATTTCATTTTTTTTTCCTGTATGGATACCCAATTGTTCTAGCTTCATATTTTGAAAAGACTGTCTCTTTTCCACTGATTGAAAAAGCCACTTATGTCATACATCAGAGATCTATATATATATTGCTGGGTTTAATTTGGGCTATTTTCATTTTATTCACCTATTTGTCCATCCCTGTACTAGTACCACAGTATCTTCACTCTAGGTCTATGTTAGTTTTTGTAGGGAGACCTCCTGAAACTATTGCTATGGAATAAAAGATGAAATGCTCCTGATTATTGTAAATACAAAATTGCATGCAGGATTTTGTAAAGACAATGCAAGGTTTGGCTGCCAGAATGAGCCAACAGTGCGTGATGTGCTTCTCCCTGCAGAGAGCCTATAAACGGACGTGCAGTCAGGGAGGTTTCACATCACCAAGATTACTATCCCAGAAAAGCAGATGTTCATAGCTCTGGGAATGCAATGCAACCCTTGTGGAGAGCCTATAAATAGACACATGAGGGGCGCTTGTTCATATGGATAAGATAGGGTTATAAACGCCCTTATCTTGCCACGGCTTTTCTGGGTCTCTTTAGGGTTAAGGCATACTCCCTTCTGAGAATTTGTGGTCTAACCGGTTGTTTCACATCCTGTTTCTGTTGATTGTTTGCAACCAGCTTTTGCTGCAAATATTACTGCTGATTAGTATCTTACTAAACATAGGTTATGGATAGACTGTGTTTCTGTTTTAAGGCTCTGTTAGAAATTGCTGACACACACACTATGTTGTAAATTCTTATCTCTGTATACTGTACTTATGCATACCGATGTTACATTAAAGAATTACTTCATCCCCATGTGATCATCTCACCTCATAATCAAATGACCCCCTAAATCCCTCACTAACCTACCCCCGCCCTCACTAAACTTAATAATAAATGCCAGTATATCCAGTGCATTGGCGGCATCACAGGACCAGAAGGCGGTGACGCCCTGGACCCAGCTTTCACTATTTTGTGTGTGTCTTTTATTTCTCGACCTGCCGATCCACCTGGGAACAAAGAAAGAGCCCCGTTGCATTGCGGGCTGCTGGCCAGATCCCACGATAAGTCTTAAGATGAGGTGGGGCAAGTTCTTCTTTTTTTTTCAAGAGTGTCTTGGTTATCTTAATATTTTATATTTCTTTCTTTTTTTCCTGAAGAGTTGGGTTTATTTCAATAGTAAATTTGAAACTCTTGACTTAAGTGAAAGTACTCTAGTAATTATATCAGGAATAGACAATTTCCTACACTGTCAAATATATGAAAGTTCCTTTTGTACGTTCTTCAACACTGATCAACAAGCAGTTTCAGTCCACATTTGCTTTGATCTGTCACTGAGTTAACCCAAGCTGCTTCTTCAGAGATTCTGGCATCTTGGGGGAGGGCAAGGGAGGCTGAAGTAGACCTTCACAGAATCATAGATAAACTACTGTAGTGCAGTCAGAGTACCAGTCATAATGATACAGACAAACATTCCCTTCCATACACCTTTAAATCCAAGTCTCTGGAGGACTTGAGAAGCACTGCTACCTTTTTCTTTATTCAACACAGATACCACAGAATCATCAGGGTGAGAAACAATTGCACAAAACACTCCAGGTATGTAACCTGCTACAAATGTTACAACCAGCTCCTCTGTCTTTGAACATTCACCACAGGGCTTCCGAACCACAAACTTGTACAATGCTTCAACAGTACCTTAAAAGCAGGCAAACTTCATCATGGCATATGCTATCTGTCTCATCCAGAGAGGAGCAACCCCTTTGTAGAATGTTTTTAGGCCTTCTTCCTTATACATCTTGGGAGCTGCATCCCTCAAAGTCTTGGTCTAACCTGGTTGGGTTTGAATTTGAACCTTAGCAGCTTCCATAGGGCAATTACAGCAAAGAATTCAGCACTGGCAGAGGCAGCCAAATACAGTGATGTGCACCAGAGATAACATGCTCTGGGAGTATGTTGCTATACAAGACTTTAAAGACTTCATAAAAGCCAAACTTGCAGAACACCTGCATGGAGTGGCCAATGAAAGTCAGAGCCTGTCCTTTAGCCAAAGAATGAACACCATCCTCCTTAAGTGTAACTGAGAATCCATTAAATATGCCCTTCTACTTTTGGGGGTCCACCTGCATACAGCATTTCACTAAACCCAGGGGAATGACCGCAGTGTGTGTCAGACCACAACCTAAGACCCCACGAGAGCCACACAATGCATAATACTTCGTGGAGTCAAATTCACAACTGTACTTTTATAAGGCAGCAGCTGCCAGGTTAAGAGAGCAGTGGGGGGGCCTTGCGGGTCTTGTGGGACCGCTGTGGAGGTCCGTGAGGCCATCGTCCACCAGCTGCAGGTGTGGCACATTGAAGGAGTTCACCCATGCCAGGTGTGCCATGGATGAGAGCTTCTCCCTAAGATGGCAAACACCCCACTGTTACTCCCTTGGATTGTGGCTCACAGGGTGATATTTTGTACTTCCACATCAGATTCAGAGTCAGCTTGTCAAGTTCCACAGGAAAATAGGTTGAGATTTCATTGAGATTGCATTTAATCTTTAGGAGTCCCTCAATAAATGGTTTATAATTTTCTCCATAGGACCAAAACTATTTTTAGATAAGTGGGAATGGGGATGCCAAAAGGAGAAGAATAAGAAGAGACAAATTTCACCAGTGTGGTCAGAAACCGAAAGGCAACACATACAGTTCATTCTGACATTTTTCAGTATTACTGACTTTTTACCCTGACTTTTTATTACTGTAAACGTTTTCATTTTCTTTAAGTCCTCAGCCACATCCCTAAACACTTAGCAGAATACCTCATTTCTTATATTTAGAAGATGTTTGGCTCATGCCTGTGATCCCAGCACTTTGGGAGGCCGAGGAGGGTGGATCACAAGGTCAGGAGATCGAGACCGTCCTGGCTAACACGGTGAAACCCCATCTCTACTAAAAATACAAAAAATTAGCCAGGCGTGGTGCTGGGCGCCTGTAGTCCCAGCTACTTGAGAGGCTGAGGCAGGAGAATGGTGTGAACCCAGGAGGCAGAGCTTGCAATGAGCCGAGATCGTGCCACTGCACTCTAGCCTGGGCGACAGAGCGAAACTCTGTCTCCAAAAAAAAAAAAAAAAAGTAGAAGATGTTGCCTGTGCCACTAAAGCACTCTCAATTGTCTCCTTGTGGTACATCTCCACCACAAAATTTCTCATCTTTCCACTCTTTTTTTAACCCTATACCTAAGAAAGGAGTGTCCCTGTGAGTAAGAAGGTTCAGTACTAATCTATCCATGAGTACTCTGATTCCAGAACAGTTGGGATAACTGTGGTTATAGTGGTTATAGATTCCTTCCTATCTGTAGTCTTCCCTTGCATTGCCCACAATCAACCAATGGCAGAGGCCCCAGAAAAATGATGTCAGTTTCCTACTAGAAACATAAAATGTAAGAACTGTTACATTGTTAACATTCTCCTAGCTACATCACATATGAAATGAGGATTTTATTACTTTGACAGATAAGACCACTTTTTTATCTGAGCTTCTGTGACCTGCTCCTGGGACTTTGCTGGCTCACGGAGACACTTCTCTATGGAGCTTCAGTAGCAAATAAGGACATCATCTGCTATAACCTACAAGCAGTTGGACAGGTGAGTGCTACAAGACTGTCACTGCACCTTGCAAGAAAGGCACACTCAGATCTAGATAGAAACAAAGATGATTCACCTTGGGAAGTGGAGACGTATTTGTTTATTGTTACATTTTGAAACAATAGCTTTTATCTTTTTTCATATTAAAAACACTATATTATAGAATATTTTGAAAATTCAGAGAAGCAAAAAAATAATGTTATCTTTACTCTTTAATTTTTTTTTTTTTTTTTCTGAGACAGAGACTTGGTCTGTCACCAGGCTGGAGTACAGTGGTGCGATCTCGGCTCACTGCAAGCTCTGCCTCCCAGGTTCATGCCATTCTCCTGCCTCAGCCTCCCGAGTAGCTGGGACTACAGGCGCCCACCACCGCGCCCGACTAATTTTTTTTGTATTTTTAGTAGAGACGGGGTTTCACCGTGTTAGCCAGGATGGCCTCGATCTCCTGACCTCATGATCCACCCGCCTCGGCCTCTCAAAGTGCTAGGATTACAGGCATGAGCCACCGCACCCAGCCGTTTTTTTTTTTTTTTTTTTTTTGAGACAGAGTCTCGCTCTGTCGCCAGACTGGAGTGCAGTGGCGCGATCTTGGCTCACTGCAACCTCCGCCTCCTAGGTTCAAGCAATTCTCTTGCCTCAGCCTCCTGAGTAGCTGGGACTACAGGCGCGTGCCACCAGGCCCAGCTAATTTTTGTACTTTTAGTAGAGATGGGGTTTCACCATGTTGGCCAGGATGGTCTCGATCTCTTGACCTCATGATCTGCCAGTCTCAGCCTCCCAAAGTGCTGGGATTACAGGTGTGAGCCACCGTGCCCAGCCAATGAATACTTTTTATAACCTGTTTTTATTATTTATCATATTGTGACCGTATTTCCAGGTAATTAAATACTTTTCTATAACATCATTTGAAATGATTGGATGGTTTTGTGTTACAGGAGTAAAATAAACACTGGATTTTGAAAATACTACAGATAATCATATATGGATTGTATATCTTTTATGAATTTTACCAATGGATTAATCCACATAGTGCCATCAGTATGTAATACTGCTTCTATATTTCTGAGACACGCAGTGTGAAAAAAGTAAAGGTTTAAATGCAGCCTATGCTCACTGCTAGATATTTCCTTTGGAATTTGTTACTAGAGGGGAAATTTCTGTCAATTTAGTAAGAAATTAATAATATGTAATTGGTGGTATAAAATCTGTGCACTAATGTTACCGATCTCATATGAGTTTAAAATGTTTTAGAGTCATACTTTGCTCAGTCCTGCTAATAACCTCATGAATTAAATAGAATTAAGGCTGTATTGTTTATTCAGGTAATTATAGTCTTTGATCAGAAAAGTCTGTATTAGAATCCTGGACCTGATTAACTTTGTAATGTTTCGCCAGTACCTAATCTTTCTGAACTTCAATCTCCTAATCTGTAAAATGTTCATTAATAATATTTACTTTGTGCTTGGTACAGATGTGGTTAATGTTACCTTTTTTTTTTTTTTTGAGGCGGAGTCTCGCTCTGTCGCTGATGCTGGAGTGCAGTGGCATGATCTTGGCTCACTGCAAGCTCCACCTCCCGGGTTCACACCATTCTCCTGCCTCAGCCTCTCAAGTAGCTGGGACTACAGGCGCCTGCCACCACGCCTGGCTAATTTTTTGTATTTTTAGTAGAGACGGGGTTTCACCATGTTAACCAGGATGGTCTCGATCTCCTGACCTCGTGATCTGCCCGTCTTGGCCTCCCAAAGTGCTGGGATTACAGGCGTGAACCACTGCACCCGGCCTGTTACTTTATTTTTTTACAACTTTATTGAGCTGTATCTATAGTAAACTATACATATTTATGG
The DNA here is from genome assembly GCF_000001405.40 of Homo sapiens. Classification (NCBI taxonomy): domain Eukaryota; kingdom Metazoa; phylum Chordata; class Mammalia; order Primates; family Hominidae; genus Homo; species Homo sapiens. The sequence continues at coordinate 111,989,910 of NC_000012.12, read as the reverse complement.
TGTACAGCTTGATCAGTTTTTACATATGTATTCCCCTGTGAAATCATCACTACAATCAAGATAACAAGCATTCCTGTTTCCATCACCCTCCAAATCATTTCAGATACGTTTTCCTTTACCTCTTTGAGCTATGTAGTATAATAGCTGCTTTTAAAAATCTTTGTTGGATATTTCCAATGTCTGGCTCATTTCTAGGCTGGTGTCTGTTGATTATCTTTTCCCATGAGAGTGGGTCACATTTTCCTGTTCTTTGTATGTCAGGTAATTTAGGATTGCAACTTAAATGTCATGAATACTATGTTGCATAGACTCTGGGTCCTTTTGTAACTCTCTAGAGATTGTTAATATTTTATCTAGCAGGCAACCTGATTAGGTTTAGAATGTAAATTTGGTCTCATCATCTGTGGACAATGGTTCAAATCTCAATTTAGTTCTATAAGCCTTGGCTACGCTGGTTTGAGACTGTCATGCACACGCATAGTAGACAGGTTAGGCTGAGACTTGTTTGGATTAATACACAGAATTAAAGCGTCCCTTTTCCTGGCTGCCTTTCTTCTAGAATTCCCTCCATACTTTCCTGCCTAAAGGGGGCCCTTTTCTGATCTCTGTTGCCTAAAATAGATTTCTATTAGAGTAGGTGCCTTCATTGAGCAGCATCATGACTGAGGTACATGCTTGAGCAAAACTAAGAGAAAAGAGAGGAAAAAGTTTGGGAAACTCACTTCTTCTGTTTGGTTTACTTCTCCAAGTTTGACTTCTTTCCACAATCTACCAGTTTTTGTTTACTTTTCAGAGTCTTCAAGTGGTTGTTTTTTATATTTTTCCTAGGATTCTTGTAATCAGGGATGAGCTGGAGAGGGCTTAAAAACACTAGTTTGTTTTTTGTTTTTGTTTTTGTTTTTGTTTTGTTTTTGTTTTTGAGACAGAGTCTCACACTATTGCCCAGGCTGGAGTGCAATGGCATAATCTTGGCTCACTGCAACCTCCACCTCCCAGGTTCAAGTGATTCTCCTGCCTCAGCCTCCCGAGTAGCTGGGATTACAGGCGCCCGCCACCACACCTGGCTTATTTTTTGTATTTTTTAGTAGAGACGGGGTTTCACTATGTTGGCCAGGCTGGTCTTGAACTCCTGACCCTGTGATCCACCCACCTCGGCCTCCCAAAGTGCTGGGATTTCAGGCGTGAGCCACCGCGCCCGGCCTGTTCGTTTTTTGAGATGGAGTCTCACTCTGTCACCAGGCTGGAGTGCAGTGGCACAGTCTCGGCTCACTGCAACCTCTGCCTCCCAGGTTCAAGCGATTCCCCTGCCTCAGCCTCCTGAGTAGCTGGGACTACAGGCATGCGCCACTATGCCCGGCTAATTTTTTTTTTTTTGTATTTTACTGGAGATGGGGTTTCACCATGTTAGCCAGGATAGTCTCAATCTCCTGACCTCGTGATCCACCCGCCTCACCCTCCCAAAGTGCTGGGATTTCAGGTGTGAGCCACCGTGCCCGGCCTTGTTTGTTTTGTTTTTTAAGATTGTGGTAAACTATACATAACGTAAAATTTACTATTAAAAAATTTTTAAGTATGATAAAAATGTAACATAAAATTTACAATCTTACTTCTTTTAAGTATACACTTCAGTGATATTAAACATTCACCTTGTTATACAACTATAACCACAGTCCATCTCCAGAACTTTTTCATCATCTCAAGCTGTGTACCATTAAACAATAACTGCCCATTTCTCCCTAGTACCAGCTCCTGGTAACCACTGTTCTACTTTCTGTCTCTATGAATTCAACTACTCTAGGTACCTCGTATCAGTGGAATCATATAATATTTGTCCTTTTGTGTCCGGCTTATTTCACTTAGCATGTCTTTAAGGTTTATCTTGTTGTAGCATGTGTCAGAATTTCCTTCGTTTTTAAGGCTGAGTAATATTCCATTGTATTGTATGGATAGACCACATTTGGTTTATCCATTTGTCTGTCAATGGCCACTTGGGTTGCTTCCACCTTTTAGATGTTGTGAATAACGCTACTATTAACATTGATGTACAAATACGTTTGATCCCCTACTTTCAGTTCTTTTGTACATATACTCAGGAGTAGAATTACTGGATCAGATGGAAATTCTGTGTTTGATTTTTTGAGGAAACACCATGTTTTCCATAACAGCAGTGCACAGTGCACAGTGCCCTGGTTTCCACATTCATGCCAACATTTGTTGCTGTTTTTTTGTTTTTTAAGTAATAGCCATCCTAATGGGTATAAAGTGGTATCTCATTGTGCTTTTGATTTGCATTTCTCTAATCATTAGTAATGTTGGGCAGCTTTTCATGTGCTTATTGGCCATTTATATATCTTCTGAAGAAATGTCTCTTCAAGTCCTTTCCCCCTTTTTTTTTTTTTTTGAGGGGGGACAAAGTCTCACTTTCTCACCCAGGCTGGAGTGCAGTGGCGCTATCTCGGCTCACTGCAACCTCCACCTCCCGGGTTCTAGTGATTCTCCTGCCTCAGACTCCTGAGTAGTTGGGATTACAGGTGTGCGCCACCATACCTGGCTAATTTTTGTAGTTTTAGTAGAGATGAGGTTTCACCATGTTGGCCAGGCTGGTCTTGAACTCCTGACTTCAAGCAATCCGCCTGCCTCAGCCTACCAAAGTGCTGGGATTACAGGTGTGAGCCGCCATGCCCAGCCCCTTCCCCATTTTTTAATCAGATTGCTTGCTTTTTTGTTACTGAGCTGTAAGAGTTCTTTATATTTAACCGCCTGTCAGACATACAATGTGCAAATATTGTCTCCCATTCTGTAGGCTGCCTTTTTATTCTGTTAATTGTGTCCTTTGATGCACATAAGTTTTATAAATTTTGTTACAATTCATTTTTTCTTTTGTTGCTTGTGTTTTTGATGTCTTACCCAAGAAATCATTTTCAAATCCAACATTATGAAGCTTTTACGCTATATTTTCTTTTAAGAGTTTTATAGTTTTAGTCTTACATTTAAGTCTTTGATCTATTTGTAGATTTTCATATGTGGTGTAAAGTAAGGGTCCAACTTCATTCTTGTGCTTGTGGATGTTCAGTTTTCCTGGTACCATTTATTTATTTATTTGAGACAGAGTCTTGCTCTGTTACCCAGGCTGGAGTGCAGTGATATGATCATGGCTCACTGTAGCCTCGACCTTCTGGGCTCAATTAATCCTCCCACCTCAGCCTCCCAAGTAGTTGGGACTACAGGTGCATGCCACCACACCTGGATAATTTTTGTATTTTTGGTAGAGATGGGGTCTCCTATGTTGCTCACACTAGTCTTGAACTCCTGGGCTCAAGCAGTCCTCCCGCCTTAGACTTCCATAGTGCTGGGATTACAGGCGTGAGCCACCATGCCTGGCCCCATTTGTTGAAAAGAATGTCCTTTCCCCATTAAATGATCTTGGCACCCTTGTAAAAATCATTTGATTATATATGTAGGATTTATTTCTGGGCTTTTAATTCTGATCCATTCGGTCTATATGAAACTGGAAAGTGTGAGTCTTCCAACTTTTTATTCTTTTTTCTTTTTGAGACAGGGTCTTGCTCTGTCGCCCAGTCTGAAGTGCAGTGGCATGATCGTGGCTCACTGCAGCCTCAACCTTCTGGGCTTAAGTAATACTCCTGTCTCAGCCTTCTGAGTAGCTAGGACCACAGGTGCACATCACCACAGCTGGCTAATTTTTAAATTTTTTTTTGTAGAGAGAGGATCTTGCCGTGTTGCTCAGGCTGGTCTCAAACCTCTGGGCTCAAGTGATCCTCCTACCTCAACCTCCCAAAGTGCTGGGAATACAGGCGTGAGCCATCATGCCTTACCTCTTCTTTTTCAAGATTGTTTTAGCTATTCAGGGTCCCTTGAGATTCCATATGAATTTTAGTATGGTATATTTTATTTCTGCAAAAAAAAAAAGTTGTTGGGATTTTGATAGGGATTGCATTGAATCTGTAGGTCACTTAGGGTAGTATTGAACATCTTAACAACAGTAATTGTTTCAGCCAGGTGTGGTGGCTCATGCCTACAATCCCAGCGCTTTGGGAAGCTGAGGCAGGCAGATCGCATGAGCCCAGGAGTTTGAGACCAGCCTGGGCAACATGGCGAGACCTCGTCTCTACAAAAAATACAAAAATTAGCTGGGTGTGGTGGTGTGCGCCTATAATTCCAGCTACTCTGGAGGCTCTGGAGGCTGGGATGGGAGAATTGCTTGAGCCCAGGAGGTTGAGGCTGCCGTGGGCCATGATTCCGCCATGACACCAGCCTGGGTGACAGAGCGAGACCTTGTCTCAAAAAAACAAAAAACTATAATAGTAAGTCTTCCAATCCATGAACATGGGTATCTTTCCATTTATTGGTGTCTTCTCTAATTTCTTTTAGCAATGTTTTATACTTTTTAGTATACAAGTCTTTTCCGTCCTTGGTTAAGTTTATTCCTAAGTATTTTATTGTGTTTAATGATATTGTAAATGGAATTATTTTCATAATTTCTTTTTTGGATTGTTCATTGTTAATACATAGAAGTGCAGCTGATTTTTGCATGTTGATTTTGTATCTGGCTACTTGGCTGAATTCTATTATTTGTTTGAACAGTTGCGTGTGTGTGTGTGTGTGTGTGTGTAATCTTTAGAGTTTTCTACATATAAGATCGTGTTATCTGCAAACAAAAATGATTTTATATCTTCCTTTTCGATTTCATTATCTTTTATTTCTTCTTGCTTAATTGCTCTAGCTAGGACTTCCAAAACTATGTTGAATAGAAGTGGTAAAAGCAGGCATCCTCACCTTGTTCTGAACTTAGAAGAAAAGCTTTGTCTTTCATCATTGAGTATGATGACTTTGTCTTTCATCATTGAGTATGATGACTTTGTCTTTCATCATTGAGTATGAGTAAAAGATTCTGGGCTTTTCATATATGGACTTTATTATGTTTTTTTATTTTGTTTTTGCTTTTTCGTTTATGAAATGATTTAATATTGGTAAATGTATAATAAAATGGGAATTGTTATATACCTTTGGTGGAGGAAGACTATAAATTGGTAACATTTAAAATTTTTTTTTTAATTTTGTGGGTACATAGTAGGTATATATATTTATGGGGGTACATGAAATGTTTTGATACAGGCATGCAATGTAAAATAATCACATCATGGAGAATGGGATTATCCATCCCTTCAACCGTTTTTCCTTTGTGCTATAAGCAATACAGTTATACTGTTTTAATTCTTTTAAAATGTACAATTAAGTTATTGTTCACTATAGTCACCCTTTTTCCTTTGTGTTATAAGCAATAGTTATACTGTTTTAGTTCTTTTAAAATGTACAATTAAGTTATTGTTGACTATAGTCACCTTGTGCTATCAAATAGTAGGTCTTATTTATTCTTTTTAACTATATATATTTTTTGTACCCATTACTATATATATTTTTTGTACCCATTGACCATCTCCACCTCCTTCCTACTTTTCCACTACCCCTCCCAGCTTCTGGTACCATCCTCCTACTCTTTATGTCCATGAGTTCAATTGTTTTGATTTTTAGATTCCACAAATAACTGCAAATATACGATGGTTGCCTTTCTGTGCCTGGCTTCTTTCACTTAATATAATGATCTCCAGTTCCATCTATGTTGTTGCAAATGACAGATCTCATTTTTTTTATGGCTGAATAGTACTCCAGTGTGTATATGTACTGGCCTTTATTTTGCTGAGATAGTTTTCTTCTGTTCCTAGTTTGGGAGTTTTTTTGGGTGGGCTTTTTTTTAATCATGAAAAGGTATTGAATTTTGTCAAATGCTTTTCTGCATTAATTGAAATAGTCATATAGACGATAGTTTTTTCCTTAATTCTATTAATGTGATATATTAATTGATTTTTGTATGTTGAACCATCGTTGCATTCCAGGAACAGCTCCTATTTCATCATGGTGTATAATCATTTTAATGTGCGGTTGAATTTTGTTTGCTACTATTTTGTTGAGGATTTTTGCAACAGTATTCATCAGGGATATTGGTCTGTTCTTTTCTTGTAGTGTCATTGTCTGGCTTTGGTATCAGGGTTTTGCTGGCCTCATAGAATGAGTTGGGAAGCATTGCATCCTATTCGACTTTTTGGAATAACTTGACAGGTTTTGGTGGTAGTTATTCTCTAAGTGTTTGATAGAATTTACCAGTAAAGCCATTTGGTTCTAGGCTTTGTGTTTGGGGAAATTTTTTGATTACTGATTAAATCTCCTTACTAGTTATAGGTCTGTTCCAATTTTCTATTTCTAAACTATTATTATTATTACTATTATTATTGTTTGAGACAGGGTCTTGCTCTGTCTCCCAGGCTGGAGTGCAGTGGTTCAGTCACAGCTCATTGCAGCTTCAACATCCTGGGCTCAAGCAATCCTCCCACCTCAGACCCCCGCGTAGTGCATGCCACCATGCCCAGCTAATTTTTTTGTGTTTTTTTTTTAGATAGAGTCTTGCTCTGTTGCCCAGGCTGGAGTGCAGTGGCATGATCTCAGCTCACTGCAACCTCCGCCTCCGCCTCCCAGGCTCAAGCGATTCTCCTGCCTCAGCCTCCCAAGTGGCTGGGATTACAGGCATACGCCACCATGCCCAGCTAATTTTTGTATTTTTAGTAGAGATGGGGTTTCACCATATTGGTCAGGCTGGTCTCAGACTCCTGACCCCAGGTGATCTGCCTGCCTTAGCCTCTCAGTGCTGGGATTACAGGCATGAGCCACCGTGCCTGGCCCCAGCTAATTTTTTTTTTTAGAGAGATAGACAAGGTCTCGCTATGTTGCCCAGGCTAGTCTTGAACTCCTGTGCTCAAGTGGTCTTCCCACCTCAGCCTCCCAAAGTGTAATCCCAAAGTGGGATTACAGGCATGAGTCACTGTGCCCAGCCTAAACTATTATTTTTAAAGACTGTATTCTTTGCCTAATGTAGTCACTGAAGTATCTTTCCATTACCTTAGTGGTGAGCTTGTGATTGGCCAGAAATTTCCTTAGATTCCTCATACAAAAACAAACAAAGAAAAACCTTTCATGGTCTTTGCAGATTGGTTCTGTATTGGAGCATTGTTTCAGTGCTTAGCTATGTCATTTACACCTCTTTCTTAGCCTTTGCTTCCTACTTGCATGAAGCCTGAATGTCCATAGGAGTTGCAAATGTAGATTTTTTTCTGAGTATGTGTCCTGCTCTGGACATGCATGTGGCCTTCTAGATTCCCCAGTATCTGCATGTACTTTCCTGATTGATTGATTGATTGATTGATTTTCTATATTGACAAATAAAAATTGTATGCATTGGCCAGGCACGGTGGCTCATACCTGTAATCCCAGCACTTTGGGAGGCCAACGAGGGCAGATTGCCTGAGCTCAGGAGTCCGCAACCAGCCTGGACAACACGGTAAAACCCCATCTCTACTAAAATACAAAAAATTAGCTGGGCGTAGTGGCATGCGCCTGTAGTTTCAGCTACTCAGGAGGCTGAGGCAGGAGAATTGCTTGAACCTGGGAGGCAGAGGTTTCAGTGAGCCGAGATCACACCACTGCACTCCAGTCTGGGCAACAGAGCAAGACTCGGTCTCAAAAAAAAAAAAAAGGTATGCATTTATGATGTAAAACATAATGTTTTAATATATGTATATATTTTGGAATGGCTAAATCATGCTAGTCAACATATCCATTACCTCACATACTTAACATTTTTTTGTGGTGAGAACATCTAAAATCTACTCTGTTGGCAATTTTCAAGTATATAATATTATTAACTGTAGTCACCATGTTGTACAATAGATGTCCTGAACTTTTTTCTCCTATCTAACTGAAATTTTATATACTTTGACCAATGTATCCCCAGTATGCTTCCTCCCCACCTCCTAGTTCTTGGTAATCACCATTCTACTATCTACTTTTATGAATTCAACTTTTTATAATTTCACACATAAGTGAAATTATGCAGTATTTGTCTTTCTGTGCCTGGCTTATTTCAGTTAGGATAATATACTCCAAGTTTATCCTGTTGTTACAAATGACAAGATTTTCTTCCTTTTAAAGGCTGAATAGTATTCCATTATGTATATATAACATATTTTCTTTATCCATTCATCTATTGATGGACACTTAGGTTGATTGCATATCTTGGCTATTATGAATACTGAATACAGGATTTCTTTCAGAGTTCTTATTTCCCCATGTATTTCCTTCCCCAGCCTCTTTCCCAGGCTTTTGGTTCTCTCTGCTGTTTGACCTTTCTGTTGTCCCTTGCCCCAGAAGGCTGTGGCTAATGTATTTGCCTCTAAGTACTTTTGACATATGCTGTCTTTGAGGCCACTCCTGCTCTGAGAAAATTCCAAGTGGATGAAATAAAAGCAAGCCCCTATGTTGATCCTGCAGGGAAGGACCAGACACACCAAAACACGTAGCTGCAATTATTTGAGAATAAGGTCCATATTGATCCCTGTGGCACTAACAACCTGCAACAGGAATGCAGACTGCTGTCCCCAAAGTTGTCATCGAATTAGGGAGTTGGGGGTGGTAAGGCAGGTAAATTAAAATGCCATAACACTCTCTTACCAAAATTTACCATGCCTTCCTTCACTAAGCATTCCCCTGGGTTTTGTAAATTTTTGATTAGATTCTAGAGCTCAAAAAAAGTTGGTTTTGACTGGTTTTTATCCAGCTTAATTGTTGCGTTAGTGGAAGGATAGATTTTTGGAGTTCTGTACTCCATCACTTTCTGTGATGTTACTCTATTTGTTTATTTTTTAAACAGCTTAATTGAGGTATAATGGCAAACATTTAAAGTATACAATTTGATAAGTTTCTTTTTTTTTTTTTTTGAGACAGTGTCTCGCTCTGTTACCCAGCAGTGGCACAACGACTGCTCACTGCAGCCTCAACCTGCTGGGCTCAAGTGATCCTACCACTGCAGCCTCCAGAGTAGCTGGAACTACAGGCACACACTACCACGCCCAGTTAATTTTTGTATTTTTTGTGGAGAGGAGGTTTCACCATGTTGCCCAGGCTGGTCTCGAACCCCTGAGCTCATGCAATCTGCCCACCTCAGCCTTCCAAAGTGCTGAGATTACAGGCATGAGCCACTGCGCCAGGCTGATATATTTTTTATCTCTATGTAAATATCGTGCTAGTTTTAAAAATAGACTTTATTTTTAGAACAGTTTTAGATTTACAGAAAAATCGGGCAAATACTACAGAGTTCCCTGGTACCTACCATACCCTCCCCTAGTTCCCAAAGTTTCCCCTATAATCATTTTGCCTTAGTGTGGTACATTTATTACAATTAATGAACCCATATTGGTACATTATTATTCACTAAAGTCAGTAGTTTACTCTAAGTTTCAGTCTTTGTGTTGTGCAGTTCCGTGGCTTTTGATAAATTCATACTGTCATGTGTCCACCATTATAGTATCATCCAGAATAGTTTCACGGTCCTAAAATTTTTTATTCATATATTCATCTTTCGCACACTCTTCCTTTCCTTGGCAACTCATTGATATTTTTATGGTTTCTATAGTTTTGCCTTTTTAGAATGTCATATAATGGGAATCATACAGTATATAATCTTGTCAGATTGACTTCTTTTCACTTAGCAATATGTATTTAAGGTTCTTCCAGGTCTTTTAGTGTCTTAATAGCTCATTTCTTTTTATTTGTTGTATGGGTTTATCACAGTTTTTTAAAATTCTTTCATCATTATAGGACATCTTGGTTGCTTCTAGTTTGGGGCAATTATAAATAATGCTTCTATAAACATTAGTATGCAGGTTTTTGTGTGGACATAAGTTTTCAGTTCAACTGAGGAAATAACTAGGAGGATGATTGCTGGATTATATAGTAAGCCTATGTTTGGCTTTGTAAGAAATTGCCAGACTGTCTTCCAAAGTGGCTGTACCCGCTTTCATTCCCACCAGCAATAAATGAGAGTTTCTACTGCTTGGCATCCTCAACAGCACTTGGTTTCAGTGTTTTGGATTTTTGCCATTCTAGTAGGTATGTATTGGTGTCTTGTTGTAATTTTCAGCTCTCTAATGACATATAATGTTGAACATTTTTTTATATGCTCATTTGCTACCTGTCTTCTTTGGTGACATATCCAAATATTTTGTTTTCTTATTGTTGAGTTTATGAGTTATTTGTGTATTGTGGATACAGTTCCTCAGTCAATGTATTTTGGAAATGTTTTCTTCCAGTCTGTGGCTTGTCTCTTCATTCTTTTAACAGAGTCTTCTGCAGAACAGATTTCAAAATTTTTTTGAATGAGGCAAAATTTATGTAACAGCTTTTTAAGTGAACAATTGAGCAGCATTTAGCATATTCACAGTGTTGTTCAACCACCAGCTTTATGTAGTTCCAAAACATTTTCAATACACTAAAAGGAAACCCTGTACCCATTAAGAGATTACTCTTCATCCCCCACCAGTCTGCTTTCTGTTTTCCTTCTGTTTCTATATTCTAGGTATTTACTATAAATGGAATCATACGATATGTGTAACATTTTGTGTCTGGCTTCTTTCACTTAGCACAATGTTTTGAAGTTTCATCCACATTGTAGGATATATCAGTACTTCATTCCCTTGTATAAATAATATTCTATTGTGTATATATATATATAATATGTATACACAATTTATTCATCCATTCATAAACGTGAGGGTTGTTTTCACCTTTTGGCTAGTGTAAATAGTGCTTCTATGAACATGTGTACATGTATTCATTTGAATACCTATTTTCCAATGAAGTTCCACTCATCCATTTTTTCTTTCATGGATCATGGATCTAGGTGACCCAAGGTCATCTAGATTTTCTCCTATGTTATCTTCTAGACATTTTATAGAACTTTTGTGTTTTACATTTAGATCTGTGATCCATCTTGAGTTAAGTTTTGTGACAGGTATAAGGTCTTATTTTTGCATATGGATGTCTATAAGTCTAACACTTTTTGGTGAAAAGACTACACTTTTTCCAGTGAATTGCTTTTGATCCTTTATCAAAGATGAGTTGACTATATTAGTGTCTGCATGGTGTCTTAGTTCAGGCAGCTATAACAAATTACCATACAATGTGTGACTTAAACAACAGGCATTTATTTCTTACAGTTCTGGAGGCTGGAAGGTCCAAGATTAAGATAATCAGCAGATCTGGTGTCTGGTAAGAGCCCACTTCCTGGTTTGCAGATGGCTATTTTCTTGTTGTATCCAAACATAGTGGAGACAAGAGACAGAGAGCAAGCCCTCTCATGTCTTTTTATAAGGGCACTAATCTCATTTGTGAAGCCTCCACCCTTAGGAGCTAATTGCCTCCCAAAGGCCCCACCTTCTAAATGCCTCACCTTTGGGGTTAGGATTTCAACATATGAATTTTGAGGGACACAAACATTCAGTCCATAACATGTGGTATATCTCTGTACATCCTCTTTATCTGTGACTTTATATTAAAGTGAGTTTTTTGTAGACAACATATAGATGGGCCTTTTTTTTTCTTTTTTTTGAAATGAAGTCTCACTCTGTCGCCCAGAAGTGCAGTGCTGTGATCTTGGCTCACTGCAACCTCCGCCTCCCAGGTTCAAGCGATTCTCCTGCCTCAGCCTCCTGAGTAGCTGGGATTACAGGCATGCACCACCATGCCTGGCTAACTTTTTGTATTTTTAGTAGAGACAGGGTTTTACCATGTTGGTCAGGCTGGTCTCGAACTCCTGACCTCGTGATCTGCCCACCTCGGCCTCCCAAAGTGCTGGGATTACAGGCGTGAGCCACCGCGCTAGCTGGGCCTTTTTTTTTTTTTTAATCTACTCTAACAGTCACTATGTTTTTATGGGTTTATTTAGATCATATTGAAAGCAATTATTGATATAGTTGGATTAATATCTGTTTCCTATTTGTTGTATCTGTTCTTTATCTTCCTCTTTTTTTCTTTTTCTGGTTTTGAGCATTTTAAAAATTATTCTGTCTTCTCTCTTTTCTTAGCATATCAATTATACTTAATTTTTAAGTATAGTTTTTAGTTACTCCCCAAGAGTTTGTCTTACACATTTACTAATCTAAGTTTACTTTCAAATAATACTATATTGTTTCATGGGTAGTGCAGGTACCTTGTAACAGAGTATTCCTAGTTGTTCTTTCCTGTCTCTTATAATATTGCTGTTGTTTATTTTACTTACCCTTATGATATAATCACTCAATACATTTTTTCTATTATTACTATTATGTCAGCTAAGAAAAATGAAATATTTTATTTGAGCTTTATTTATTCCTTCTCTGATTTTTTTTCTTTATGTAGATCCGAATTTACTGACATACACAATTTTCATTCTTTCTGAAGAACTTCTTTAACTTTTCTAGGAAAATAGGTCTACTTGGTGATAGTTTTTGTTTGTCTGAATTTCTCCTTCACTTATTTTATTAGGGTGAAATTCACATAACATAAAACTAACCGTTTTAAAGTGTACAATTCAGTGGCATTTAGCACATTAACAATGTGCAACTGTCTCTCCTTCATTTTTATAGAATAATTTTACTGGATACTGGAAACAGAATTCTAGGTTAGTGGTTCTTTCTTTCAACAGTTTAAATATTTCACTGTACTTTCTTCTTGTTTATGTAGTTTGACAAGAAGTACAGTATAATTCTTATCCCTGTTTCTCTAAAAAAAGTGGTTTTAAAACTGGTTTCTTTCTAGATTTTTCTCTTTGTCTTTGGTTTTCTGCAGTTTGAATATGATATTTCTAGGTGCAGATTTTTTGGTTTTTATCTTGCTTGATGTTCTGTAAGCTTCCTGCATATGTGATTTGGTGTCTGTCATTAATTTTGAAAAATCCTGAGTCATTATTACTTCAGATATTTCTTATGTTTCTTTTGCTCTTTCTTCTCCCTCTGGTAATTCCATTATACCTATGTTACACCTTTTATAACTGTTCCACTGTTGTTCTGTTCCTTTTGACATTCTGTTCCTAATTCTTTTTTTCTTTGCATTTTATTTTGGGAAGTTTCTATTTACATATTATAAAGCTTACTGATGATTACATTCATGGCTGTATTCAGTTAATTGATGTGCCCTTTCTTTATGTCTATTACAGTATTTTTGACGTTTAATGTTTCCTTTTGATTCTTTTTAAGAGTTTCCATTTTTACATTAACTATCTGTTCTTACATGTTGTCTGTTTTTTCCATCAGAGCCCTTAACATATTAATTGTTATTGTTTTAGATTCCCTATCTAATAATTTCAAAATCTGATTCATAGCTGAAACTGGTCTAATGCTTGTCTTGTCAGACTGTGTTTGTTTTTCTTGCCTTTACGTGCCCTGTAATTTTTTGTTGAAAGTTGTGAGGTATTAGGTAATAGGAACTGAGGTAATTAGATTTTTAATGTAAGGTTTTATGTTTTGTTTTGTTTTGCTTTGTTTTGTTTAAGACAATTTTGCTCTTGTTGCCCAGGCTAGAGTGCAGTGGCGCAATCTCGGCTCACTGCAACCTCCGCCTTCCGGTTTCAAGCGATTCTCCTGCCTCAGGTTTTATGTTTATATGACCAGGAGCTGGGCTGTATTTAATGTATGCTATAGCTTTTGGTGCCAGAGGCCTCAGTTTCCTACAATTTACTGGGTTCCCTCCCTTACCCCATTGTCTGTGGGTTTCTCGGGCAGATTACAAGGTCAGGAGTTCGAGACCATCCTGACCAACATGGTGAAACCCTATCTCTACTAAAAGTACAAAATTAGCTGGGCATTGTGGTGTGCGCCTGTAATCCCAGCTACTCAGGAGGCTGAGACAGGAGAATCCCTTGAACCCAGGAGGCGGAGGTTGCAGTGAGCCAAGATCGCACCACTGCACTCCAGCACTCCAGCCTAGGTGACAGAGCAAGACTCCATCTCAAAAACAAAAACAAAAACAAAACAAAACAAAAAAACTTCTTAAATGGAGTTGATGGTTTGAACCTCTCTCAGTTATAATTACACTGAAGCCCCTTTGACGTGATGGTAAGGTGTTGGAGAGGGGAAGCATTCTATAATCTTATAATTAAATCTTAAGCATTTATTTTTGTGGGCCTGAGCTCTTGGGCTGTGACCTTCAGAACTTTTTCTCAGTGTTTTTTTTTTAAAGTATCCCTTTACATCAGACAAGAAGGCTAGAGGGGCCGAAGTTGACTAATTGTCCTTCCCCCATGTCAGATAAGGCTCTGATGAAGTAGTTTCTCTGGAAGGCAAGTCTATTTGGCTTTTTTCTTGCTATAAGGATAGGAGTGGTGACTTCTAAGCTCTTTGCTCATTGGAACTGAAACCAGAAGTCCCTAACATGGTATTTTGATTATTTTAGCTGTAAACCGTTTCTTGAAATTAGGCAGTATTAGCTCTCCAATTGTGTTCTTCTTATCAGAGTTGATTTGGCTCTTCTATGTTCTTTACCTTTTTCATATGAATTCTAGAATATGCTTGTTAGCCAGGGGCTGTGGCTCATGCCTGTAATCCCAGTACTTTGGGAGGCTGAGGCAGGAGGACTGCTTGAGCCCACGAGTTCAAGATCAGACTGAATAACCTAGGGAGACCCTGTCTCTACAAAAAAAAATGTTTGTATATATAAGCTGGGCTTGCAGGCACATGCCTGTGGTCCCAGCTACTCAAGAGGCTGACTGAGGTGGGAGGATTGCATAAGCCCAGGAGGTTGAGGCTACAGTGAACCCTGATCGTGCCACTGCACTCCAGCCTGGGTAGGAGAGCAAGACTCTGTCTCAAAAAAACAGATATCGCTTGTCAGTTCCTACAGAAATGTCTGCTGAGATTTTAATTGGGATTTTATTGAATCTGTATATCAATTTGGAGAGATGTGACATCTTTACAATATTTAGTCTTCTGACCCATGAACAAGGTATGTTTGGCAAATTGCTTAGGTCTTCTTCAGTATCTCTCTGCAATATTTTGTAGTTTTCAAGTATATAGGTCTTTCACATCCTTTGTCATATTTATCTCTAAGAATTTGATATTTTTTATGCTATTGAAATAACATTTTTTAAATTTCAAATTCCAATTGTTTATTATTATATAGAAATAAAATACATTTTTATATATTGGTCTTGTATCCTGCAACCTTGCTAAAGTCATTCATTAGTTTGAATAGCTCTTTTGTAGACATCATTGGCTTTTCTACATGGATGATCATGTTGTCTACAAATAAAAATGTTACTTTTTCCTTTCCAGTTCTGGATGCCTTTTATTTCTTTTCTTTTCTTTTTTTTTTTTTTGCGACAGAGTCTCACTCTGTCGCCTAGGCTGGAGTGCAGCGGTGCGATCTCGGCTCACTGCAGCCTTCTTCTAGGTTCAAGTGATTCTCCCACCTCAGCCTCCCTAGTAGGTGGGATTATAGGCGTGCACCACCACGCCCAGCTAATTTTTGTTTTTTTGTATTTTTAGTAGAGACAGGGTTTTACCATGTTGGCCAGGCTGGTCTCGAACTCCTGACCTCAAACCTCAAATGATCCGCCCACCCCGGCCTCCCAAAGTGTTAGAATTACAGGCATGAGCCACTGCTCCTGGCCTATTTCTTTCTTTCCCCTGCCTGATTGCAGTGACTAGAACCTCCAGTACAATGTTGAATAAAAGTGGTGAAAGTGGACAGTCCTGTCTTTTTCCTGATTTTAGAAGGAAAGCATTCCATCTTTCACCTTAAGTGTAATGCTAGCCATAGATTTTTCATAAATATCCTTAATCAAGTTGAGGAAATTTTTCTAGTTTGGTGAGAGTTTTTTTTTTTCTCTGTTTTTAAAATTGAGAATGGATGTTATATTTTTCCAAATGCTATTTTCTGTACCTATTTAGATGATCACTGGTTTTTATTTTTTTAGTATTTTAATAGGATGATTTAAATTGATTTACTTTTGAATGTTGAAACAACTCTGTAGGCCTGAGATAAACCCCACTTAGTTGTGATGTATTATTTTTATATACTGTAGGATTTTTTGTTTTTTTGTTTTTTTGGGTTTTTTTGACAAAGTCTCGCTTTTGTTGCCCAGCTTGGAGTGCAGGCCACGATCTGCAACCTCCACCTCCTGGGTTCAAGTGATTCTCCTGCCTCAGCCACCCAAGTAGCTGGGATTGCAGGTGTGTGCCACCACACCTGGCTAATTTTATATGTTGGCCAGGCTGGTCTCAAACTCCTGGACTCAAGTGATCTCCAGCCTCGGCCTCCCAAAGTGCTGGGATTACAGGTGGGAGCCACCACTTCTGGCCTTGATTTCCGCTTTGATCTTCATTATTTCCTGTATTTTTACTATGGGTTTAATTTGCTCTTTCTTAAAATGGAAGTTGATGTCATTGATTTGAGATATTTCTAATATAAGCATTTAATGCTACAAATTGCTACCTAATTACTGCTTTAGTAGCATCTCGTAAATTCTCTTTACTTACGTATATTTTTAGAGATGGAGTCTTGTTTATGTTGCCTAGGCTGGACTCACACTCCTGGACTCAAGTGATCCTGCTGAGTAGCTGGAATATGGGCATGTGCCATGGTAGCTGGTATATCCCGTAAATTCTAATATGTTGTTTTAAAATTTTTCTTCAGTTAAAATACTTTCTAATTGTTCTTTTGATCTTTAATCCATGAATTGTTTAGTTATTTAGAAGTGTATAATTTAGTTTCCAAATATTTGGGGATTTTCTGTGGATCATGCTGTTATTGATAATGTAATTTAATTTCATTGTGTGATTTGAGTGCTTTTGAAATTATTGACTTGTTTTTTAATTTATTTTTTGTTTTTTTGAGACAGAGTCCCACCCTATCGGCCAGACTGGAGTGCAGTGGTGCAATCTCAGCTCACTGCAGCCTCCACCTCCTGGGTTCAAGCAATTCTCCTGCCTCAGCCTCCTGAGTAGCTGGGACTACAGGAGCGTGCCACCACGCCTGGCTAATTTTTGTATTTTTAGTAGAGATGGGGTTTCACCATGTTGGCCAGGATGAACTCGATCTCCTGACTTCGTGATCCATCTGCCTTGGCGTGTTTTTTTTGTTTTGTTTCTTTTTGAGACAGAGTCTTGCTCTTGTCACCCAGGCTACAGTGCAATGGAGCGATCTCAGCTCACTGCAACCTCCTCCTCCTGGGTTGCAGCAATTCTACCTCAGCCTCCCGAGTAGCTGGGATTATAGGCACACGCCACCACACCTGGCTAATTTTTGTATTTTTAGTAGAGACGGGGTTTCACCATTTTGGCTAGGGTGGTCTTGAACTCCTGATCTCAAGTGATTTGCCCGTCTTGGCTTCCCAAAGTGCTGGGATTATAGGCATGAGCCACCACACCCGGCAAGACTTATTTTATGGTCTAGAATATGTTCCATCTTGGTAGATGTTCTGTATGCATTTGAAAGAAAAATTACATTCTGCTGTTGTTGGCTGGAATATTCTATAAATATCAATTCTGTCAAGTTGGTTGATAGTATTGTTTAAGTTTACTAAATCTTTGCTAATTTTCTATTTATTTTATTCATTAGTGAGTGAGGAGTATTGATATCTGACTATAATTGTGGATTTGTATATTTCTCTTTGTAGTTCTATTTTGCTTCATGTATTTTGAATCTCTTTTATTAGGTACATAAACAGTTAGTATTTTTATGACCTCTTGATTAAGTGACACCATTATTATGAAATGGCCTTCTTCATTTTGAAGTCTACATTTTCTGTTACTTATATAGCCATTTCAGCTTTCTTTTGATTACTATTGCCATGGTATATATTTTAATATCTTTATTTTTTCTCTAGCCTGCTTCAGAGGAAGAGTTGGGTTTTGTTTTTTTGTTTTTGGTGGGTTTTTTTTTTTTTTTTTTTTCACAGATAGGGTGTCATTCTGTCACCTAGGCTGGAGTGTAGTGGCATGATAATAGCTCACATGACCTCAAACTCCTGGGCTCAAGCAATCCTCCAACCTCAGCTTCCTTAAGTTGGTAGGACTACAAAAACCACCATACCTGGCTAATTAAAATATTTTTTTTGTAGAGATGGGGTTTCACTGTGTTGCCCAAGCTTGTCTCAGATTCTTGGCCTCAAGCAATCCTTACACAAGTGAGCCTTTCAAAGTGCTGGGATTACAGGCATGAGCCACTGAGCCCACCTATTTTTTTAATTTTAATTTGTTTGTGTTTTATGTATAAAGTACACTTCTTGTGGTAAATATTTAGTTAGGTCTTACTATTCCAGTCTGACAATCTTTAATACCTTACATTTAATTTGATTATATAATTACACTTGAATCTAACATTTTGCTGTTTGTTTTCTATTTGTTACATCTGTTTTTTGTTCCCTTTTCCTTCAATTCTGCCTTTTTTGGATTAATCTACTACATTTTGTTATTACATATTGTCTTTTTTGTTGGCTTATTAACTAAAATTTTTTAGTTTTTTTTTTTTTAAGTTACTGGTTGTGTTACAGGGTTTACAGCGTACATTTTAACATTGCAGTTAAACTTTAAGTGATATTATGCCACTTCACATATAGGATAAGAATCTTACAATAGTGTACTTTCATTTCTCTTCTCCCAATCTTTATGCTATTGTTGTCATGCATTTTTCTTTTCCATGTTTTAAAACCCACAATCCATTGTTATTATTTTTGCCTAAATAGTTTATTATTAATGGTATTTAAGTAGTAAGAAAAAAACATACTTTATATTTACCATTTCTGGTGCTCTTCATTTTTTTGTGTAGATCCCTGATTTCCAATCAATATTATATTTCATCTGCCTAAATGTCACCCTTTAACATTTCTTGTAGGGTGAGTCTGGTTTCATGTGTCTGAAAATGTTTTTACTGCACCTTTGTTTTTGAAAGTATATTTGCTAGGTATAGAATTCGAGGTTGACAGAAGTTCAGTATTTTAAACATGTTACTGCACTTTTTGCTTGCATTGTTTTCAACAAGAAATCTGATATTATTCTTATCGTTATTCCTCTGTACGTAACATGTTGTTTTTCTCTCTGGTTGCTTTTATGTTTTTTTCTTAAAAAATGAACCATTTGGGCTGGGCATGGTGGCTCACGCCTGTAATCCCAGCACTTTGGGAGGCCAAGGTGGGCGGGCGGATCACGAGGTCAGCAGATTGAGACCATCCTGGCTAACACGGTGAAACCCCATCTCCACTAAAAAATACAAAAAAATTAGCTGGGCATGGTGGCAGGTGCCTGTAGTCCCAGCTACTCAGGAGGCTGAGGCAGGAGAATGGTGTAAACCCAGAAGGCAGAGGTTGCAGTGAGCTGAGATCACGCCATTGCACTCCAGCCTGGGTGACAGAGCGAGACTCCGTCTCAAAAAAAAAAAAAAAAAACCCATTTGATTATGAAGTGCCTTAATGCTATTTTCTTTATATTTCTTGTTCTTTTGATTCATTGGGTTTTTGAATCTATTGGTTTATTGTCTTCATAAGATTTGGAAAGCTTGGGGCCACTATTTCTTCAAATATTTGAAGAAATATTTTTCTCATTCCTACCACCTAAACTGCTTTCAGGCCTTTTATTACCCAGGTATTAGGATTTCTCACAGTTCACCAATAGTCTTTGCAGTTTTGCATGCTTTTTTCCCCCATGTTTTCCATTTTGGAGATTTTCTTTTCTTTCTTTTTTTTTTTTTGGAGATGGAGTCATGCTCTGTCACCCAGGGTGTAGGGTAGTGGCATGGCATGATCTTGGCTTACTGCAACTTCTGCCTCCCAGGTTCAAGTGATTCTTATGCCTCAGCCTCCCAAGTATCTAGGATTACAGGCACCTCCCAAGTATCTAGGATTACAAGCCCAGCTAATTTTTCTATTTTTATAGAGATGGGGTTTCACCATGTTGGCCAGGCTGGTCTTGAACTCCTGACCTCAAGTGATCTGCCTGCCCTGGCCTCCCAAAGTGCTAGGATTACAGGCATGAGCCACCACATCCAGCCTACCATTTGGATATTTTCTATTGCTACACTTTGAAGTTCATTAATTTTTCTTCTGCAATGTCTTATCTGTCCTTAATCTCATTTAGAGATTTAAAAAAAATCTCAGGCCAGGCGCAGTGGCTCACACCTGTAATCCCCGCACTTTGAGAGGCTGAGGTGGGTGGATCACTTGAGGTCAGCAGTTTGAGACCAGCCTAGCCAACATGGAGAAACCCCGTCTCTACTAAAATACAAAAAAATTTAGCCGGGCGCAGTGGCGGGCACTTGTAGTCCCAGCTACTCGGGAGGCTGAGGCAGGAGAATGGCGTGAACCCGGGAGGCGGAGCTTGCAGTGAGCCAAGATAGCACCATTGCAGTCCCGCCTGGGCGAAAGAGCGAGACTCCATTTCAAAAAAAAAACAACAGAAAAATTAGCCGGGTATGATGGTGCACACCTGTGGTGTGCCCAGGTAGTCCCACCTATTCGGGAGGCTGAGGCAGGAGAATCACTGGAACCCAGGAGACGGAGATGGTTGTGAGCCAAGATCGCTCCACTGCGCTCCAGCCTGGGCAACAGAGTGTATCTCAAAAAAAAAAAATAAATAAACAAAAAAACTCATCCATTATAGTTGCACTGTAGTTTTTGCCTCTAGCAGTTTAATGTAGATTTTTTTTTTTTTTTTTTGAGATGGAGCGTCGCTCTTGTTGCCCAGCCTGGAGTGCAATGGTGCAATCTTAGCTCACCACAACCTCCACCTCCCAGGTTCAAACGATTCTCCTGCCTCAGCCTCCCGAGTAGCTGGGATTACAGGCATGCACCACCGTGCCCGGCTAATTTTATATTTTTAGTAGAGACGGGATTTCTCCACGTTGGTCAGGCTGGTCTTGAGCTCCCGACCCCAGGTGATCCACCCGCCGTGGCCTCCCAAAGTGCTGGGATTACAGGCGTGAGCCACCGCGCCTGGCCATTTTCTTTTTTTTCTTTTCTTTTCTTTTTTTTTTTTTTTTTTTTTGAGATAGAGTCTCGCTCTGTTGCCCAGGTTGGAGTGCAGTGACACGACGTGGGCTCACTGCAACCTCCGCCTCCCGAGTTGAAGCGATTCTCCTGTCTCAGTCTCCTGAGTAGCTGCGATTACAGGTGCCCGCCACCACCCCCGGCTAATTTTTGAATTTTTAGTAGAGACGGGGTTTCACCATATTGGTCAGGCTAGTCTAGAACTCCTGACCTCAGGTGATCCACCTGCCTCAGCCTCCCAAAGCTGGGATTACAGGCATGAGCCATTGCACTTGGCCTAATATAGATGTTTTTAAAAAATATTTCTCCAATGTCTCAACTTACTGAAAAGATAGAATGTAGTTATGATGACTATTTTATTGTCCTTTACTTCTAGTTCTAATATCTGTTTCAGTCCTGGGTAGGTTTCAGTTGATTTAGTATTCTCCTTAGTATAGGTCATGTTTTCCTTTTTCTTTGTATGACTGGTAATCTTCTACTGAATGCCAGACATTTCAAATTTTATCTTCTTGGGTGCTAGATATTTCTGTATTACCATAACTATTCTTGAATTGTATTCTTGGATGCAGTTAAATTACTTGGAAATAGTTTGAATCATTCAGGTCTTGCTTTTATAATTTGTTAGGTGGGTATGGAATGATGCTCATTCTCAGGATAATTATTTCTCACTAATGAGGCAAGACCTTCCTGAGTACTCTACCCCATATACCTTGTTGAATTATCAGTTTTTCTAGTCTTGGTGGTGAGAACAGGCACTATTGTTGGCACCATGTGGACTCTAGATACTGTTCTATCTAATCTTTTCAATGGTTCTTTCTTCAGCTTTGAGACGTTTATTTAGACACATGCGCCAGTCAGTAGATCTTGCAAATCCTCTGCAAATCTATGAGGTTCTCTGTGAAGCCTTTTGTTTGTTTGTTTGTTTTTCTTCAGCACCCTTTCCAATGAATTCTAGCTACCTTGGTCTCCTTGGACTCTCAGTTCTGTCTCCTCAATGCAGGGAGTTCACAAGGCCTCCCTCAGTTTCCATTTCCTGTGCTGTGGCATAAAAACTTTTTCTAGGAGGTAAGATAGGGCAGTTAAAGAGTTCACTTTATTCATTTCTCTTCTCCCTGAGATTATTGCCCTTTGTTGTCTGATGTCTGGTGTCTTGAAAACCATTGTTTCAGATGTTTTATCTAATTTTCGTTTGCTTGCTAGGAGAGTAAATACAGTTCTGTCACTCCATCTTGGCCAGAAGTGGAAGTCCCAGTTTGTTTTTTTAAAGTGTATTTTTTTCCCCACCTATGTAGGGATCATTAGGGCTTGTATCATTGTGTCATTACTGTGATATCAAGTGTTTATTATTATAGTTGTTAGGTGCAAATTTTATACTAAAACTCAGGGACAGATAATATGCTAAAAATATTTCAACTTTTGGATATTCAGGGAAATTGGGAGGCCTCAGAGATCATATTATTTAAATAACTTATAATATATATCTAAATTATTCTTTAGAAAAAAAAATCCAGGTGCTTCCAGACTTAAGTAAAAGTTTCAGTATTCCTTATTGTCTTTTCTTCTGATAAGCCTGCCAGGTTGGAGGAAAAAAATACACTATTTTACTTGGCTCCCTTCTTTAAATTGAGGTCCACAATTCAAATGAAATAGTGCAACTTGTCCATTTATTCAACTTTAGGAGAGCAATGGTAAAGAAAGTACTACAGCTAGACTTAGGAGACCTAGATTCTCATTTTAGTTTTGTTATTAAGAATCTGTATGATTTCGAGGAAGTTGTTTTTATATTTATCAATTTTTTTTCTAAAAATGAAAATCATTGCCATTCTAATCTACATCAGATTTAAAGTGTTAAATAAGATGTCTGCACACATGTTTTGTAAAATTAAAGGTTCTCTATGAGTGTATGGTGTTTTTATGGATTTCTCTGAGCAAGGGAATCAAGATCATTAAACTAAGCACTATACCAATAGTGATTGTTTCTTCCTAGTCTTGAAAGTGGATCCAGTTTATTGCATAGTTTGGAAAGGCTTCAGACAGTTTCCTATGGAGAGATCTGTTTGATTAGGAATAAGCTTCTGTCTGACAAGATAGGCTGACCAAGCTGGTCTGTTAAGGCATTAGAGCCTCTTTCTCCCAAAATTGGTTTGGAAATGTCCTAGATCTTTTGACTAGATGTAGGAAACTTAGAGCTGGTCATGGAGGAGAAATGGCTCAGTACAGCTGGAGCACTCTTAGTTTGCAAGCCCAAGAGAGGCTATGAGAAGAGAAAATATACTCCAACTGTATAAGCCATCAGAAGAGAAATAGTAAGAAGTGCCCTGAACAACAGGTTAGGAGATCTGGGTCAGTACCAAACCATAGCCCCATTTTATGTGGTCTAACACCTCTTTTACGAGTTATGATGCTAAGAAACTGGCAATTCTCTTTTAAAAACTGAGTAGTTCCAAATCCTGAAACTATTCCAAGTTTGGCTTAAATATAATTTTCCACAAACCTTAGGAAAACATTTTCTTGTCTAGACTGTATTAATTTTCTGATTTTCCTATTACTGTTGACCTATCTAAGTTGACAGTACACTCAGGCATCAGTTTTACAGAATCAGAATTTCCTATAGTAGTTTTTAAGTAGTTGACGAGATCACCTTAAGTCTGGTACCACAGCTAAATTTCTTCTTTGTTTTTTTTTGAGATGGAGTCTTGCTCTGTTGCCCAGGCTGGAGTGCAGTGGTGCAATCTCTGCTCACTGCAACCTCTGCCTTCTAGGTTCAAGCAATTCTTCTGCCTCAGCCTCCCAAGTAGCTGGGATTGCAGGTGCACACCATCACACCTGGCTAATTTTTGTACTTTTAGTGGAGATAGGGTTTTGCCACGTTGGCCAGACTGGTCTCAAACTCCTGACCTCAGGTGATCAGCCGCCTCAGCCTCCCAAAGTGCTGGGATTACAGGCATGAGCCACCGTGCCTGGCCTCAAATTTCTTCTTAAACAAATGAGGATGAGAATGTTTTAAATGGATCTTTATCTTAATTTTTTGTTGTTGTTTATTTATTTATTTATTGAGACAAAGTCTCACTCCTTCACCCAGGCTGGAGTGCAGTGGCATGATCTCAGCTCATTGCAACCTCCGCCTCCCAAGTTCAAGTGAGTTTCCTGCCTCAGCCTCCAGAGTACCTGGGACTACAGGCATACGCCACCATGCCTGGCTAAGGCTAATTTTTGTATTTTTTTTTTTAGGGGAGACGGGGTTTCGCCATGTTTGCCAGGCTGGTCCTGAATGCCTGACCTCAAGTGATTCACCGCTTGGGCCTCCCAAAGTGCTGGGATTACAGGTGTGAGCCACTGCACCTGGCCTCCTTAAATGTATCTTTATGGCCTAATTTTCACCTTTGCACCCAGTTGGTAAGAACTGTTTAAAAATACTTCCTATTTCCTTCCACTTTAGAGCTGGGAATTAGATGTTGTAATTGCTTATTTTGTTATTCCAATGAAAAACCCAAACCTGACTCTTTCCTCTCTTTCCATGTTAATGGAGCATTCTGGTAGCTAGTTTAATACTCTTTAAAGATCTGGAGACCAAGACAGAAATATGTACTCTCCTTATAAATGGATGATTTTTATTTTTTCTGTATTAAAAAATTTGGTGTGTTGTTCACTATGTAAGTTAAAATATCAAAGAGGGATATACAACTGAAAAGTAAAAGTTCACCTTTCTTTCCTTTCTCCTACTTCTATAATTTGATCAGTTTAGATAAAATATCTCTGCTTTTCAAAATTACTCTCTAGCTGGCTCTTGAGGAAAAAAAAATGGGGGTAGGAGGAGCTGGGGCCTTCCCTTATTTATACAAGCCGATGAAGAGGTCCTAGACTTTTGGAGAGTCACAGTAAAGAAAGAAAACCAGTCACCTGATTTAAACAAACAATATATTCAGGTTTCTGAATCTAGATTTCTAGTTCCAGTCTTTGAACAGAAAAAACCTTTTAGAAAAACTCTTTGCTCTTTACCTGGGCATGGTGGCTTCATGCCTGTAATCTCAGCACTTTGAGAGGCTGAGGTGGGAGGATCGCTTGAGTCCAGGAGTTTGAGACCAGCCTGGGTGACATATTGAGAGCCCTGTCTCTACAAAAAAATTTTTTTTAAATTAGCTGGGCATGGTGGTGCGCACCTGTGGTCCCAGCTACTCAGGAGGCTGAAGTGAGAGGATCACTTGCACCTAGGAGGTCGCGGCTACAGTGAGTTGCGATCACACTACTACACTTCAGCCTGGGTAACATAGCAAGACCCTGCCTCAAAAGAAAAGAAAATAAATCTTTGTCCTTATTGTAAACTGTTGCCACACTTTGGAATACGGTTAGCAGTTATTAATTAATCATTTTCACTGGAGCAGACTTAAGAGAATGGGCTTAAGAAGTAGCAGGAAAAAAAATTTGGTTCGTGTAGAAACCTTGAGGATTGTTGATGAGAATAAATTCTTAGAGTCACTTTGGTGTTTCCTTATCACAAATGTTCATAATGTCATCTGTGTGAAACTGATTTACTTTTTTTTTTTTTTTTTGAGATGGAGTCTCTGTCTGTTGCCAGGCTGGAGTGCATTGGTGTGATCTCAGCTCACTGCAACCTCCATCTCCCGGGTTCAAGTGATTCTCCTGCCTCAGCCTCCCAAGTAGCTGGGACTACAGGCATGCGCCACTACCAAGCCCAGCTAATTTTTGTATTGTTAGTAGAGATGGGGTTTCACCATGTTGGCCAGGATGGTCTTGATCTCTTGACCTTGTGATCCGCCCACCTCAGCCTCCCAAAGTGCTGGGATTACAGGCATGAGCCACCGCACCCAGCCTTTACTTTTTTTTTTTTTTTTTAACCTGAAATTCAGGTGATATAGTAGAGAAGTAGTTCAGTGGGTCCCAGACTTCAGAATTTTAGAAATGAGAAAAACTAAAAAGAAAAAAAAAACGGGAGTTGTTTTAATGTTGCCGAGTTTATATTTTGCTAACTGAAGAACATTTAAAAACAACTACCATAACTACCATCTACTTTCATAAAAGAAATAACATTTGAGACAAAAAACTTGGCAAAAAAATAATATCAGAAGAATTGGTGGTTCTTTAAATTAGTAAATTTAATCATATGAAAAACTAATTTCATTGCCTCTATTTTCCTCAGCATTTCTTTTTTTAAAAAAAATACTTTAAGTTCTGGCGTATGTGTGCAGGACGTGCAGGTTTGTTACATAGGTATACATGTGCCATGGTGGTTTGCTGCACCCATCTACCCATCATCTCCATTAGGTATTTCTCCTAATGCTATCCCTCCCCTAGCCCCCAACCCCCTGACAGGCCCTGGTGTGTGATGTTCCCCTCCCTGTGTCCATGTGTTCTCATTGTCCCACTTATGAGTGAGAACATGTGGTGTTTGGTTTTCTGTTCTTGTGTTAGTTGCTGGGAATGATGGTTTCCAGCTTCATCCATGTCCCTGCAAAGGACATAAACTCATCCCTTTTTATAGCTGCATAGTGTTCCATAGTGTATATGAGCCACATTTTCTTTATCCAGTCTATCATTGACGGGCATTTGGGTTGGTTCCAAGGCTTTGCTATTGTGAATAGTGCCACAATAAACATACATGGGCATATGTCTTTATAGTAGAATGATTTCTAATCCTTTGGGTATATACCCAGTAATGGGATTGCTGGGTCAAATGGTATTTCTGGTTCTAGGTCCTTGAGGAATTGCCACACCGTCTTCCACAATGGTTGAACTAATTTACACTCCCACCAACAGTGTAAAAGCATTTCTATTTCTGTTCCTATTTCTCCACATCCTCTCCAGTATCTGTTGTTTCCTGACTTTTTAATGATCCCCATTCTAACTGGGGTGAGATGGTATCTCATTGTGGTTTTGATTTGCATTTCTCTAATGACCAGTGATGATGAGCTTTTTTTCATATGTTTGTTGGCTGCATAATGTCTTCTTTTGAGAAGTGTCTGTTCATATCCTTTGCCCACTTTTTGATGGAGTTGTTTTGTTCTTATAAATTTGTTTAAGTTCTTTGTAGATCGTGGATATTAGCCCTTTGTCAGATGGATAGATTGCAAAAATTTTCTCCCATTCTATAGGCTGCCTGTTCACTTTGATGATAGTTTCTTTTGCTGTGCAGAAGCTCTTTAGTTTAATTAGATCCCATTTGTCAATTTTGGCTTTTGTTGCCATTGATTTTGGTGTTTTAGTCATGATGTCTTTGCCCATGCCTATGTCCTGAATGGTATTGCCTAGGTTTTCTTCTAGGGTTTTTATGGTTTTAAGTCTTATGTTTAAGTCTTTAATCCATCTTGAGTTAATTTTTGTATAAGGTGTAAGGAACGGGTCCAGTTTCAGTTTTCTGCACATGGCTAGCCAGTTTTTCCAACGCCATTTATTAAATAGGCAATCCTTTCCCCATTGCTTGTTTTTGTCAGGTTTGTCAAAGATCAGATGGTTGTAGATGTGTGGTGTTATTTCTGAGGCCTCTGTTCTGTTCCATTGATCTATATATCTGTTTTGGTACCAGTACCATGCTGTTTTTGTTACTGTAGCTTTGTAGTATAGTTTGAAGTCAGGTGGCATGATGCCTCCAGCTTTGTTCTTTTTGTTTAGGATTGTCTTGGCTATGTGGGCCTTTTTTGGTTCCATATGAAATTTAAAGTAGTTTTTTCTAATTTTGTGAAGAAAGTCAGTGGTAGCTTGATGGGGATAGCATTGAATCTATAATTACTTTGGGCAGTATGGCCATTTTCATGATATTGATTCTTCCTATCCATGAACATGGAATGTTTTTCCATTTATTTGTGTCCTCTCTTATTTCCTTCAGCAGCAGTTTGTAGTTCTTCTTGAAGAGGTCCTTCACATCCCTTGGAAGTTGTATTCCTAGGTATTTAATTCCTTTTGTAGCAATTGTGAATGGGAGTTCACTCATGCTTTGGCTCTCTGTCTGCTGTTGGTGTATAGGAATGCTTGTGATTTTTGCACATTGATTTTGTATCCTGAGACTTTGCTTAAGTTGCTTATCAGCTTAAGGAGATTTTGGGCTGAGACAATGGGGTTTTCTAAATATACAATCATGTCATCTGCAAACAGAGACAATTAGACCTCCTCTTTTCCTATTTGAATATGCTTTATTTCTTTCTCTTGCCTGATTGCCCTGACCAGAACTTCCAATACTATGTTGAATAGGAGTGGTGAGAGAGGGCATCCTTGTCTTGTGCCAGTTTTCAAAGGGAATGCTTCCAGTTTTTGCCCATTCAGTATGATATTGGCTGTGGGTTTGTCATAAATAGCTCTTATTATTTTGAGATATGTTCCATCAATACATAGTTTATTGAGAGTTTTTAGCATGAAGGGATGTAGAATTTTGTCAAAGTCCTTTTCTGCATCTATTAATCATGTGGTGTTTGCCATTGGTTCTGTTTATGTGATGGGTTACGTTTATTGATTTGCATTTGTTGATCCAGCCTTGCATCCCAGGGATGAAGCCAACTTGATCATGGTGGATAATCTTTTTAATGTGCTGCTGGATTCAGTTTGACATATTTTGTTGAGGATTTTCGCATCGATGTTCATCAGGGATATTGTCCTGAATTTTTCTTTTTTTGTTGTGTCTCTGCCAGGTTTTTGGTATCAGGATGATGCTGGCCTCATAAAATGAGTTAGGGAGGATTCTCTCTTTTTCTGTTGTTTGAAATAGTTTCGGAAGAAATGGTACCAGCTCCCCTTTGTACCTCTGGTAGAATTTGTCTGTGAATCTGTCTGGTCCTGGACTTTTTCTGGTTGGTAGGCTATTAATTACTGCCTAAATTTCAGAACTTGTTATTGGTCTATTCAGGGATTCACCTTCTTCCTGGTTTAGTCTTGGGAAGTTGTATGTGTCCAAGAATTTATCCATTTCTTCTAGGTTTTCTAGTTTATTTGCATAGAGGTGTTTATAGTATTCTCTGATGGTAGTTTGTATTTCTGTGGGATCAGTGGTGACATCCCCTTTATCATTTTTTACTGTGTCTATTTGATTCTTCTCTTCTTCTTTGTTAGTCTGGCTAGTGGTCTATCTATTTTATTAATCTTTTCAAAAAATCAGGTCCTGGATTCATTGATTTTTTTGAAGGGTTTTTCCTGTCTCTATCTCCGTCAGTTTTGCTCTGATCTTAGTTATTTCTTGTGTTCTGCTAGCTTTTGAATTTGTTTGCTCTTGCTTCTCTAGTTCTTTTCATTGTGATATTAGGGTGTTGATTTAAATTTTTCTTGCTTCCTCCTGTGGGCATTTAGTGCTATAAATTTCCCTCTAAACACTGCTTTGGCTGTGTCCCAAAGATTCTGGTATGTTGTGTCTTTGTTCTCATTGGTTTCAAAGAACTTACGTATTGCTTCCTTAATTTCGTTATTTACCCAGTAGTCATTCAGGAGCAGGTTGTTCAGTTTCCATGTAGTTGTGTGGTTTGAGTGAGTTTCTTTTTTTTTTTTTTTTTTTTTTTTTTTGAGACGGAGTCTTGCTCTGTCGCCCAGGCTGGAGTACAGTGGTGCAATCTCGGCTCACTGCAAGCTCTGCCTCCCGGGTTCACGTCATTCTCCTGCCTCAGCCTTCCAAGTAGCTGGTACTACAGGGGCCCGCCACCACCCCCAGCTAATTTTTTTTGTATTTTTAGTAGAGATGGAGTTTTCACCATGTCAGCCAGGGTGGTCTCGATCTCCTGACCTTGTGATCTACCCGCCTCAGCCTCCCAAAGTGTTGGGATTACAGGCATGAGCCACTGTGCCCGGCCGATTCTGAGTGAGTTTCTTAATCCTGAGTTCTAATTTGATTGCACTGTTGTCTGAGAGACTATTTGTTACGATTTCCGTTCTTTTGCATTTGTGGAGGAGTGTTTTATTTCCAATTATATGGTCAATTTTAGAATAAATGCAATGTGGTGCTGAGAAGAATGTATATTCTGTTGATTTAGGGCAGAGAGTTCTGTAGATGTCTATTAGGTCCGCTTGGTCTAGAGCTGAGTTCAAGTCCTGAATATCCTTGTTAATTTTCTGTCTCGTTGATCTAATATCGACAGTGGGGTATTAAAGTCTCACATTATTGTGTGGCAGTCTAAATCTCTTTGTAGGTCCCTAAGAACTTGTTTTATGAGTCTGGGTGCTCCTGTATTGGGTGCATATATATTTAGGATAGTTAGCTCTTCTTGTTGCATTGATCCCTTTACCATTATGTAATGCCCTTCTTTATCTCTTTTGATCTTTGTTGGTTTGGTTTAAAGTCTGTTTTATCAGAGACTAGGATTGCAACCCCTGCTTTATTTTTTTTGGCTTTGCATTTGCTTGGTAAATATTCCTTCATCCCTTTATTTTGAGCCTATGTGTGTCTCTGCACGTGAGATGGGTCTCCTGAATACAGTACACCAATGGGTCTTGACTCTTTATCCAATTTGCCGGTCTGTGTCTTTTAATTGGGGCATTTAGCCCATTTGCATTTAAGGTTAATATTGTCATGTGTGAATTTGATCCTGTCATTATGATGCTAGCTGGTTATTTTACCCATTAGTTGAAGCAGTTTCTTCGTAGTGTCGATGGTCTACAATTTGGTATGTTTTTGCAGTGGCTGGTACCAGTTGTTCCTTTCCATGTTTAGTGCTTCCTTCAAGAGCTCTTGTAAGGCAGGCCTGGTGGTGACAAAATCTCTCAGAATTTGCTTGTCTGTAAAGGATTTTATTTATCCTTCACTTATGAAGCTTAATTTGGCTGGATATGAAATTCTGGGTTGAAAATTCTTTTCTTTAAGAATGTTGAATATTGGCCTCCACTCTCTTCTAGCTTGTAGGGTTTCTGCAGAGAGATCTACTGTTAGTCTGATGGGCTTCCCTTTGTGGGTAACCTGACCTTTCTCTCTGGCTGCCCTTAACATTTTTTCTTTCATTTCAACCTTGGTGAATCTGATGATTTTGTGTCTTGGGGTTGCTCTTCTCGAGGAGTATCTTTGTGGTGGTATCTGTATTTCCTGAATTTGAATGTTGGCCTGTCTTGCTAGGTTGGGGAAGTTCTCCTGGATAATATCCTGAAGAGTATTTTCCATCTTGGTTCCATTTTCCCCATCACTTTCAGGTACACCAATCAAACGTAGATTTGGTCTTTTCACGTAGTCCCATATTTCTTGGAGGCTTTGTTCATTCTTTTTCATTCTTTTTTCTCCAATCTTGTCTTCTCACTTTATTTCATTCAGTTGATCTTCAATCTCTGATATCCTTTCTTCCACTTGATTGATTTGGCTATTGATACTTGTGTATGTTTCACGAAGTTCTTGTGCTGTGTTTTTCAGCTCTATCAGGTCATTTATGTTCTTCTCTAAACTGGTTATTCTAGTTAGCAATTTGTCTAACCTTTTTTCAAGGTTCTTAGCTTCCTTGCATTGGGTTAGAATGTGCTCCTTTAACTCAGAGGAGTTTGTTATTACCCACCTTCTGAAGCCTACTTCTGTCAATTCATCAAACTCATTCTCCATCCAGTTTTGTTCCCTTGCTGGCAAGGAGTTGTGATCCTTTGGAGGAGAAGAGGTGTTTTGGTTTTTGGAATTTTCAGCCTTTTTGTGCTGGTTTCTTCCCATCTTTGTGGAATTTATCTACCTTTGGTCTTTGATGTTGGTGACCTTCGGATGGGGTCTCTGAGTGGGCCTCCTATTTTTTTTTTTTTTTTTTTTTTTTTTTTTTTAGTATTTATTGATCATTCGTGGGTGTTTCTCGGAGAGGGGGATTTGGCAGGGTCATAGGACAATAGTGGAGGGAAGGTCAGCAGATAAACTTGTGAACAAAGGTCTCTGGTTTTCCTAGGCAGAGGGCCCTGCCGCCTTCCGCAGTGTTTGTGTCCCTGGGTAGTTGAGATTAGGGAGTGGTGATGACTCTTAACGAGCATGCTGCCTTCAAGCATCTGTTTAACAAAGCACATCTTGCACCGCCCTTAATCCATTTAACCCTTAGTGGACACAGCACATGTTTCAGAGAGCACGGGGTTGGGGGTAAGGTTATAGATTAACAGCATCCCAAGGCAGAAGAATTTTTCCTAGTACAGAACAAAATGGAGTCTCCTATGTCTACTTCTTTCTACACAGACACAATAACAATCTGATCTCTCTTTCTTTTCCCCACATTTCCCCCTTTTCTATTCAACAAAACCGCCATTGTCATCATGGCCCGTTCTCAATGAGCTGTTGGGTACACCTCCCAGACGGGGTGGTGGCCGGGCAGAGGGGCTCCTCCCTTCCCAGACGGGGCTGCCAGGCAGAGGGGCCCCCCCACCTCCCAGACGGGACGGCGGCCAGGCAGAGGGGCTCCTCACTTCCCAGACGGGGCAGCCGGGCAGAGGGGCCCCCCACCTCCCGGACGGGGCGGCTGGCCGGGCGGGGGCTGGCCCCCACCTCCCAGACGGGGCGGCTGGCTGGGCGGGGGCTGCCCCCCACCTCCCGGACGGGGCGGCTGGCCAGGGGGGCGCTGCCCCCCACCTCCTGGACGGGGCGGCTGCCGGGCGTAGACGCTCCTCACTTCCCAGACGGGGTGGCTGCCGGGCGGAGGGGCTCCCCACTTCCCAGATGGGGCGGCTGCCGGGCGGAGGGGCTCCTCACTTCTCAGACAGGGCGGCCAGTCAGAGATGCTCCTCACCTCCCAGACGGGGTGGCGGCGGGGCAGAGACACTCCTCAGTTCCCAGACGGGATCATGGCCGGGCAGAGGCACTCTTCACATCTCAGATGGGGCGGCGGGGCAGAGGTGCTCCCCACATCCCAGATGATGGGCGGCCAGGCAGAGACACTCCTCACTTCCTAGACGGGATGACGGCCAGGAAGAGGCACTCCTCACTTCCCAGACTGGGCGGCCGGGCAGAGGGGCTCCTCACATCCCAGACGATGGGTGGCCAGGCAGAGACGCTCCTCACTTCCTAGACGGGGTGGTGGCCGGGAAGAGGCGCTCCTCACTTCCCGGACTGGGCGGCCAGGCAGAGGGGCTCCTCACATCACAGACGATGGGCGGCCAGGCAGAGACGCTCCTCACTTCCTATACGGGGTGGCGGCCAGGCAGAGGCTGCAATCTTGGGACTTTGGGAGGCCAAGGCAGGTGGCTGGGAGGTGGAGGTTGTAGCGATCCGAGATCACGCCACTCACTCCAGCCTGGGCAACATTGAGCACTGAGTGAGCGAGACTCCGTCTGCAATCCCAGCACTTCAGGAGGCCGAGGCTGGCAGACCACTCGCGGTCAGGAGCTGGAGACCAGCCCAGCCAACACGGCGAAACCCCGTCTCCACCAAAAAATACGAAAACCAGTCAGGTGTGGCGGCGCGCACCTGCAGTCCCAGGCACTCGGCAGGCTGAGGCAGGAGAATCAGGCAGGGAGGCTGCAGTGAGCCGAGATGGCGGCAGTATAGTCCAGCCTCGGCTCGGCATTAGAGGGAGACCGTGCAAAGGGGAGACGAGGACCATGCAAAGGGGAGAGGGAGAGGGAGGGGTCCTATTTTTTGATGTTGATGCTATTCTTCTGTTTGTTGGTTCTTAGAGCAATGTCAGGGATCAGCATTAATTTCTGAACTGGCATTTGGAAATTATTACATTAAATGGCTTTTTAATGTGCTTTCCAGGTTTAGGATGCTAAATCTTCAGGACACACGAATATTTTTGTTTTGAGCTTTCCATCTTCCACTGGGGTAGACATGGGATACAAATTAGAATGAGATTTGTTCACTTCTTATATTATAACCTTATTATGTGGCTGCAGTTATTGAGTTCCTGTTTGATTCACATAATGAAAAGAGTTTTATAGGAAACCCATAGCTGATCAGAGCAAACTGGATCAGTACAGCTGGAGCACGCTTATGCCACTTCACTGAACTGGAACAGAAGAAATCAATCATTTGCCCATAGCTAGTTTTTAATTCTGGAACTTACCTGAGAAGCAAAGTGAATTTTTGAACTAAGCCATCAGAAATACAGTCATGCATCGTTTAACGACAGCAATACATTCTGAAAATGCATCATTAGGCAATTTCATCATTGTGTGAACATCATAGAGTGCATTTACACAAACCTAGATGATATAGCCTACTATACACCTAAGCTATATGGTATAGCCTACAGCTCCTAGGCTATAAACCTAAACAACATGTTACTGTATTGAATACTATAGGCCATTGTAACACAATGGTAAGCATTTGCATATCTAAACATAGAAAAGGTATGGTAAAAAATACAGTATTATAATCTTATGCGGCCACTGTCTTATATGCGGTCTGCTGTTGACCGAAATGTTGTTATGCAGTGCATGACTGTAATTTCAGTTTTTGATTAATAGGCTGAGATGTGCTGTTTTCCAAGTACTATTTCTTTTGTGAACTCAGCCAACCAGTAAAAAGATGTTGCAATGCCAGGATAACATTTGGATCAGAAGGCTTTGTCTGCACTACAGCATCTGCCTCTGAAAGATGGAATCTGATCCATGGTCAAACCTCAGATTTTTTTATTCCCTTAGATGACTAGCTCTGCACTGAGAGGATTAATTTGGATATATATGATTGTCCTGTAGAATTTTTGGATCAGGAACAAATTCCATGCTTTCTCCAAAAGCATCTGAGAGGGTTGTTGCACTAAGATTTCTGTTTACCTGCCAGGTCCAACCCGCAGACCCTGGCCGAACAGTGGATGAACAAATGCACTCAGACACAGGGATCTAGTGAAAGAGTGGGCTACGGGACTGGGCCACCCACAGACACCAAGGAGGGTACTGTAAAGAGTCAGCAGCTGCAGCCCTGACAAGCCAGTGCTGCGGGCATTTATTCAGTGTAGATTTAATGACAAAGGCCTTGAGTCAACATATTTGTGGGCAGATGATTAAAAGCCAGGTTCCGAGGCCTATGTAAACTAACTTATCTAGATCAGTTTCTTTACATCTCCTTGTTATCTAACCTAAACTTTCAGGCACTGGATAAGAGAATCTGGCTACCTTCAGCCAAATCTTTTTCCAAAGCTTTTGTGAAAACTTCTGGCCTTCCAAGAAGGTTTGCATCTTTCTACAATTTTTCCCACCACCCTGACTGATCTATGTTTACCAGGAAAACTGCTATGGAAAAACAAGATACAGAAAAAACAATGCCAGACACTGTCCCAGTCAGCCTTTCCATTTAATCTTGGCTATTCTTCTGTATACTTTGATACAAGTTGAAGTGCCATCAGCTATATTTTCTTAGTGAACCGTTTTATTTCCTGGAAGAATGTGCTAGTCAGATATGTTAGAGACACCAGTTTGGGTTGCAAATGACATGAAGTTTAAGGCTTAGAATTAAAGCTGTAGTTTGCAGTCGATCGGACCTGGGTTCAACAGCTGCCAACAGCTTTCACAGCTGTTAGCTCTGTGACTTTTTAAGCAAGTGAACTTCTCTAAGTCTTAGTTTTATCTTGTAAAATAAGAATAATGACAAGGTTCTTAAGAGTTGTTGTGAAGAAGAAATTAGATAACAAATGTAAAGTGCCCTTGATTAGTATAAACTATTATTGTTCTGTTTATTTTTCAAGGTAATATAGAATCTCTCCCTACTTCCTCAAACAGAGGATTCACTTGCAATCCTTTCATTCCTGCACATCCTTACTGATCGATTACTTTCTGCATCTGCCTGGCAATAGAAAACAGGGTCTGCATCTGCCTGGCAATAGAAAACATATTCTCCCATATAGAATTAAATTTTATGATCTTTGCTTGTTAATGTAGTCTCACTCCCTCAGTGACCTTTTGGACTTAGTTTGCCTAACTCTAAGGCCTAAATTTTACAGTGGCTATGGGTTTATGTAACATTATTATTGTGATTTTTTAGGATCTTCTAATGGTTTAGATATCAAAGGAGATTAAATTTTTGCTAATCAATAGCAAAAAATAGATTTTTTCAGCTTTATTGGCGTGTAATTATTTTTTATTTTTGGTTTTTTAAACATTAAACTAGGGTTAATACTGATGTGTAATTAAATGAAAATATGATAGTATTTTTATGCTTTATTGGAAACTATTTTCTATGATAATCTTGAGCTGCCATCTAGTCAAGATCATTTTACAGAGAATTAGACAACCACATGTTTGTGATAGTTTTAAATGTGTTCTTGTAGAAGAGTGAACTAAGTAAGCTATTGAGGTTGTCAGCCTAAATAACAGAGAGAGAGACTCTCTAAAAGAAATAGAATTTATTCAGAAGTAAGCACTGCAATGGGAATATGATGGGCATATTCAGGGAGGTAAAGGAAAACAAGGATTTTTAAAGGAAAAATAAGGAGGATTACGTAATTGTTATCTTTGGATACAAGGATTAACAAGCGTGGCATCAGTCCAAGGTTAGACGGCAGTTGTTAGGCAGATATCCTTGCATAAGTACTTTTTGTGTGTGTAAGGTTGAAGTGGCCTATGTGCAATGTTGTGATTTTTGCAGGATCTTTTGTGATGGTTCTTATTATCAGGCATATGTGCATGAGAACCTCCGTTCTTGGCCTTCCCTGGCTCCATTTGTCAGGGATTTGACCCGAGTGACTCCATTTTGATTCTGACAATTTTCGCATTTCTCCCCTTTGATCAAGATCTTTTTCTGAAAGCATTGCTGATCAGTCATCCTGGTTGTTTGATTGAAAATTATGTTTGATTGTTTCTTGGTGTCAGGATGGATTTGTCTCAGGTTGTTGGTCTGGTCCCATGTCGAAGGGAGTCATTGGTGACTAGGAGTTAGTGTCAAACTCTTTTAGTCACATTTGAGCAACAAGGGAAGTTTGGAGGGAGTGGCTCACAGGGTAAGTCTACCAGGTGGAGTCTATTGTTAAGTTTAATTTTGCTATTTTGTAAGTGTTGTTATCATCACAAAGTGTTGGGCCAGCATTATTTTGTTAGGAGTTGTACTTTTGTAGAAATTTGGGAAGTAATAGGTACAAAGTTAAAAAAATACAAAGTAAAGTTCATAGTAATATGATAATCTCATTTCACATAATAGTTTTGAGCCATGAACCTAGGATTAAAGGCAACCAGTTGAATAAATCAAATGACCATGGGGAATTAGGTGAGACCTTGTATTAGGGTTCTCTAGAGGGACAGAACTAATAGGATAGATGTATATATAAAGGGGAGTTTATTAAGGAGTATTAACTCACATGATCACAAAGTCCCACAATAGGCTGTCTGCAAGCTGAGGAGCAAGGAAGCCAGTCTGAGTCCCAAAGCTGAAGAACTTGGAGTCTGACATTCAAGAAGAGGAAGCATCCAGTACGGGAGAAAGATGTAGGCTGGGAGGCTAAGCCAGGCTAGTCTTTTCAGGTTCTTCTGCCTGTTTTTCATTCTGGCTACACTGGCAGCTGATTAGATTGTGCCCACCCAGATTAAGGGTGGGTGTGCCTTTCACAGTCCACTGACTCAAATGTTAATCTCCTTTGGCAACACCCTCACAGACACACCCAGGAACAATACTTTGCATCATTCAATCCAATCAAGTTGACACTCAGTATTAACCATCACAGACCTCTTGTATTTATGTGGCCTGCTTTTAAATTATGTGTATATGGGTCTCAGCTTTTCCAGAGGAATTTATCTATCCACACCATGTAGTATTAGTAATATCTTAGACTTTTTGTTATTGTTGTTGTTCAGCTAGTAGATAGCAATCTTATTACTTAGCATTTTATGACTGGGTTGATTTGAAGCAGAGAGAGCCAAGTCAGCAAGTCAGTTGTGTGTGTGTTTTTTTTGTTTTGTTTTGTTTTGAGATGGAATCTCGCTCTGTCACCAGGCTGGAGTGCAGTGGCTCAATCTTGGCTCACTGCAATCTCCATCTTCCAGGTTCAAGTGATTCTCCTGCCTCAGCGTCCCAAGTAGCTGGGATTACAGGCGCATGCCACCACACCCAGCTAATTTTTGTATTTTTAGTAGAAATGGGGTTTCACCATGTTGGCCAACATGGTCTCGATCTCCTGACCTCATGGTCCGCCCACCTCAGCCTCTCAAAAGTGCTGGGATTACAGGCATGAGCCACCGCACCCGGCCAAGCCACCGTGCCCAGCCACTAAGTCAGTTTGAAAACTTAGTGCAAGCTGAACAAAAAGTTGTATTGGGATGTTGCTAACATCACCTACTAGGTAGGCTAAATGATTTTTTTTTCCTTTTTTTTTAACTCTTATTTTAAGTTCAGGGGTACATGGGCAGGTTTGTTATATAGGTAAACTTGTGTCATGGGGGTTTGTTGTACAGATTCATTCATCACCCAGGTTTTAAGCCTAGTACCCATTAGTTATTTTTCCTGATCCTCTCCCTCCTTCCACCCTCCATTCTCTGATAAGCCCCAGTGTGTGTTGTTTCCCTCTATGTGTCCATGTATTCCCATCATTTAGCTCCCACTTATGAGAACATGTGGTATTTGGTTTCCTGTTTCTATGTTAGTTTGCTAAGGATCATGGCCACTAGCTCCATCAATGTTCCTGAAAAGGACATGATCTTGTCCTTTTTTATGACTGTATGGTATTCCATGATATATATGTACCACATTTACTTTATCCAGTCTACCATTGATGGACATTTAGGTTGATTCTATGTCTTTGCTATTGTGAATAGTGCTGCAGCAAACGTATGTGTGCATGTGTCTTTATGATAAAATGATTTATATTCCTTTGGGCACATACCCAGTAATGGGATTGCTGAGTCGAATGGTATTTCTGTCTTTAGGTCTTTGAGGAATCACCACACTGTTTTCCACAATGGTTGAACTAATTTACACTCCTACCAACAGTGTATAAGCATTTCCTTTTCTCTACAACCTCACCAGCATCTGTGGTGTAACCACACCATTCTGACTGGTGTGAGATAGTATCTCATTGTGATTTTGATTTGCGTTTGTCTAGTGATCAGTGATGTTGAGCTTTTTTTCATATGCTTGTTGGCTGCATGTATGTCTTCTTTTGAAAAGTATCTGTTCATGTCCTTTGTGCACTTTTTAATGAGGCTTTTTTCTTATAAGTTGATTTTTAAGTTCCTTATAAATGCTAGATATTAGACCTTTGTCAGATGCATAGTTTGCAAGAATTTTCTTTCTTTCTGTAGGTTGTCTGTTTACTCTGTTGGTAATTTCTCTTGCTGTGCAGAAGCTCTTTAGTTTAATTAGATCCCATTTGGCAATTTTTGCATTTTTTGCAATTGCTTTTGATGTCTTTGTCATGAAATCTTTGTCTGTTTCCATGTTCAGAATGGTATTACTTAGGTTGTCTTCCAGGATTTTTATAGTTTTGGGTTTTACATTTAAGTCTTTAATCCATCTTGAGTTAATTTTTATATATGGTGTAAGGAAAGGGTACAGTTTCAATCTTCTGCATATGGCTAGCCAGTTATCCCAGCACCATTTATTGAATAGGGAGTCCTTTCCCCATTGCTTGTTTTTGTCAGCTTCGTCGAAGATCAGATAGTTGTAGATGTGCAGCCTTATTTCTGGGCTCTCTATCCTGTTCTAAAGGATTTTTTTTTTTTTTTTTTTTAAGATCAGATCTTGTCAAGTTATCTGCAGTGGCTACTGATTGTGAAATTTTAATTACACCAATGTTCTGCCAAGTGAAAGAGGTAGGCATAAGCAAGGAAAAATTAAGAGGCAAGAGTCTCATTATGATGGGGAGTCTTATTCCATTGTTTCTGGGGAAAGATGTCCACAGCATAAAGGCATCAATTTCTCATCTTGGTTTGTAGTTTTTAATGTCTCTGGTTATGGCATTGGGCAGTCCAGTGAACTTTCTGTGTTGCCCATACCCCGGGCACAAGACCCATCTCTTAAAATTTCTTTAGTTTAAGGTTTTTTTGGTTGTTTTTTTTGTTTTGTTTTGTTTTGTTTTGTTTTTGAGAGGGAGTCTCACTGTTGTCACCCAGGCTGGATTGCAGTGGTGCGATCTTGGCTCACTGAAACCTCTGCCTTCCAGGTTCAAGTGATTCTCCTGCCTCAGCCTCTTGAGTAGCAGGGACTACAGGTGTGCACTACCATGCCCAGCTAATTTTTATACTTTTAGTAGAGACGGGGTCTCACCATGTTGACCAGGCTGATCTTGAACTCCTGACCTCAGGTGATCCACCCGCCTCGGTCTTCCAAAGTGCTGGGATTACAGGCATGAGCCATCACCCTGACCTATTTGGTTTTAGTTTACAGGGTTTTAGGAAC
Source organism: Homo sapiens (assembly GCF_000001405.40). Lineage (NCBI taxonomy): Eukaryota > Metazoa > Chordata > Mammalia > Primates > Hominidae > Homo > Homo sapiens. The sequence goes on along the minus strand of NC_000012.12, from coordinate 111,949,801 downwards.
AGCATTTCCTGGTTTTAGTAATTTTATGGAAGAAGGTTGGATTGGAGGTACCTAGAAGATTTTAGGATCTAGTCCATTCTATAGGTACATAATAAAAACTTGAAAACAATTCCTCAGGGCCACAGTCTAATAACAGGTGTATTACAGATTTTCTTAGAAACATAAGTTTTTTCTTTACCATAATTGCGATTTTTACCAAAGATAATAGAGTAAGACTAAATTGTTTGTAAAATAGTTTAGTTTTATCAAATATTACCTGATCATTAATATAAGTGCAGCAGGAATAGCAACTGACCACACTGTAATTTCAGATTTAAAAAGTTCTTAAGTCTAGGAAGCCAAATGAAGGCAGACTTTAGACTTTGTCCATAGTATCTATAAACAATTTAAATATGACATTCTAGTCAAAACCTTGCTAATATATATAAGCAATGTTTTAAATTGTATTCCATTATAAAAATAGCATATTTTTATTGAACTTGTGGAATCAACTATATTGTTATAAGAATAAGAATACTTATGGGTAGTTTTTTAGTTTTGAAGGGATCAAGTAGGGAGAAAAAGTAAATGATTTTACTTTTCTTTATAAAAGCATATTTTATCAAATTAGTGTAAACTGTAGATAGCTTAAGAGAAAAAGATTTTGTTTTTGTTTTTGTTTTCTTTCTTTTTTGGGGGTGGGGGTTGGGGGAGAGGGCCTTGCCCTATTGCCCAGGTTGGAGCACAGTGGCGCAATCATAGTTCACTGCAGCCTCTAACTCCTAAGCTCAAGCAACCCCCGCCACCCCCGCCACCCCACCACCTCAGCCTCCTGAGTAGCTCTGAGTAGCTGGGACTGCAGGTGTGCACCACCATGCCCAGCTAATTTTATTTTATTTTATTTTTTGTAGAGATGAGGTCTTGCTATGTTGTCCAGGCTGGTCTCAAACTCCTAGCCTCAAGTGATCCTCTTGGCTAGGACTACCAAAGTATTGGAATCACAGGTGTGAGCTACCATGCCCAGCCATTTTTTAAAAAGAATTTATTGGAACTTTGCAATTTACAAAGCCCCCCTGCCATATAATCCCATATGATGTATAAAATTAAAATAAATATATGCATGAGTATATTTGTTTTAAATTTTTAAAAGTTTTAGTTTACCTACTAGTAAATCTGGTAAAATTGTTGCCATTTTTGTTTTGGTGCTTTGATTATTCCCCAAGATACTGCCACTTGTTTTATGTACCAAGTTTGAGATGCTCTAGGTATGCAGGTGGCCTGAATATCTTTTAGCCATCCAACAAAATATTTACTGACTACCTACTATTGATCAAAATATTTACTGAGGACCTACTATTGATTGGCACTGTATGAAGCACTAAGTTCCTGTGGGAAACTAGACATCCTTATTCCTGTCTCTGCCCCTTTTCCTATTCTAGCCCTTTGTTTAGAATGCCCAACCCTCTTCCCCCTAACCTATTCAAATTCTATCTGTGATTCTGTCTTCTCATCTCACCTTACTCTGAACTCCTACGTTTCTCAGAAGACTTGAACTATTTCTTTCCTGGATGGGCACGGTAGCCCTCCCTCAACAGGAGCAGCAAGGTGGCTGAGCAGGGAGGAATATAAGTTTCAAGGCTTCTAGCTGAACTCAGTGCTTATATGTAAATTAACCTCTGAGAAAAGCATGTTTTTTACCTTGTACCTGCTAGGCTGGATCTCCCAAACCAGATGAGTGATCCTTGGCCCGACCAGTTTTTAAAATTTGGAAAACAAAACATTTAAGTAAAGAACCAACAGTGTTTTTTCTTTTTCCTGAGTCCCAACAGGAAACAAAAAACAACAAGGTTTTAAAAAATGTATTTGTTTTAGCCAGCCAAATACTTTAATTCCAAATAAACTTTTAAATAAAAGTCATAAAAACATTACTTTTATGTTATTTAATCTCATGTAACTAATTTTTTGGTTTTATCTTGATTAGCAGTTTTGCAGATTTATTAATTTTTGCATTGGAGTTTTGGAAAATTTGTATTTAGTCCATTAATATTGAAGTTATTAGAAATTTGTATTTAAGAGTACTTGTTAGAGTCTTTTTCATGAATCTGATTGCAGATACCTGTAGGGAAGAATGAAAACAATAACTGAGGATGACACAACCTTTGAATAACCATGTAAAATCTGGTGAAAGTTTACCATAACCAGACATTCACAATTAAATGTGGTTATTTTTGTGGTATAAAATAGTAATCAGAATTATGACTGATACCATATTAGATTTTAAGAGTTTTGTACAATTTTGGAACATTTATATCAATAACATACCCATAAAAGTAACTGAAAGTAGATCTAACATCACTTACCTTTTGACAATGTTTTCCATATAATTTGACATCTCAAGTAAGCCTGATTTTGTTTAATATTTCTCTTTTATAAACTTTTGAGAAGTTCTGAGGCCAAATGGAATAACCCAAAGTTAGTTTGAAGTCAAAAAAGACTTAATTTAGAGTCTGATTCTGGGGAAGCCTGTCAAAGATGTTAAAAGGTTTAAAACACTTGCTCAAAACAGGATCACATGTCACTATGAAATAATAATCATTTATTTAACCAGAGTGACCATCAAAAGTCTTTAAAAGCAAAAAAAAAAAAAAAAGTCTTTAAAAGCAAGTACAGAAATTTATGTGGATATAAATTTTTTAACACTTTAATTAAAAACCCAATATAACAATATGAAACACAGGAAATTATTTTGATTAAATGTAAAATCTTTGGTTTTTTTAGGCCAGTTATCAAGAATTTAAAGAAAAACCTGTAATATGATTTTTTTTTCTTTTTATGGAAAGTTCATTTAGATGACCTGGGAGTCAAATCTGATGAAAAGGTACTTGACTTTAACCCATTTATGCTGGAGGTTGCAGCTTTTTTGAATTGCAGACGTGTGAAAAATCAGACCTTGGGGATGACCTTGAGCAGTAGGATGTAACTTCTACATGCTTAGCATTCCAATAATGGAACACTAGGCATAAATGGGTTTTAATCAGATACTGGAAGAGTATGTGTTCAAGATTATGAGAGTGTACACAGTTTTATAGGAGAAGTAAACAAGAAAACTAGTATCTTAAGCAGGGGTGTTGGGAACAGGCCCCCAAATCCCAAACTGGCCATAAACAAAATCTCTGCAGCACTGTGACATGTTTGTGATGGCCATGACGCCCACGCTGAAGGTTGTGGGTTTACTGGAATGAGGGCAAGGAACACCTGGCCCACCCAGGGTGGAAAACCACTTAAAGGTGTTCCTAAACCACAAACAATATCCTGAGCGATCTGCGCCTTAAGGACATGTTCCTGCTGCAGATAACTAGCCAGAGCCCATCTCTTTGTTTTGGCCCATCCGTTTGTTTCCTGTAAGGAATACTTTTAGTTAATCTATAATCTATAGAACTAATGCTTATTACTGACTTGCTGTCAATAAATATGTGAGTCAAACTCTGTTCAGGGCTCTCAGCTCTGAAGGCTGTCAGCCCCCTGATCCCGCTCCACACTATATTTCTGTGTGTGTGTCTTTAATTCCTCTAGCACCACTGGGTTAGGGTCTCCATGACCAAGCTGGTCTTGGCAAGGGGAATGTATGGATTTTAGAAAAAGTAAAAGCATGTGAAATTGTCTGGTTACATGGAACAATTTTGACAAATCAAGAAAATCCAGGAGTACAGAATCAAGTTATACTAGAGGAAAACATTGTTCTAAACATAAAGCTTCAGTTTAGGAGATGGTTGAAAATTTAAAGAAACAGATTGTGGAATTAAAACATCATAGCTTTGCCTAGCCTAACTTAAACATGCTCAGAACACTTACATTAGCCTACAGTTGGGCAAAACACAAAGCCTATTTTATAATAAAGTGTTGAATATCTCATTTAATTTATTGAATACTGTCCTGAAAGTGAAAAACAGAATGGGTGTATGGGTACATAAAGAAGTACAGTTTCTACTGAATGCATATCTCTTTTATACCATAATAAAGTTGAAAAATTATAAGTTGTACAATTATAAAGTTAGGGACTATCTGTATGAGATTAAGCAGAAGGTTCTCATTTGTCTTCCCTATCATAGATTCTTCTTTATGCAAGGTAGTCATTCAATGAATATTTGTGTCTCTGGGAGTTTAACAAAATAAAGATGAGTCCTGAGTCTCTCAAAATAATACAAAGTAGTTAAGATGATAAATTAATAATCATTTATCTTTGCTATTGAAGAATGTTAACATTAATTACAGTTCTTGAGGTTTTTAACAATATCACTTAAGGTGTTACAAAATTTTAAACCTGAAAACTTCAAGAAGGGTCAAATTTAGAATGCTTATGTATCTGCTATGAGGGCTGAAAAAAAATCTAACAGATACAATGACATCCTGGTTCCCTCTACTGGGCGTAAATGAAATTACCTATTTCTTCTTCTTTTTTTTTTTTTTTTTTTTTTTTTTGAGATGGAGTCTAGCTCTGTTGCCCAGGCTGGAGTGCAATGGCTCGATCTCGGCTTACTGCAACCTTCACCTCCTGGGTTCAAGCGATTCTCCTGCCTCAGCCTCCCAAGTAGCTGGGACTACAGGCACACACCACCATGCCTGGCTAATTTTTGTATTTTTAGTAGAGATGGGGGTTTCACCATATTGGCCAGGCTGGTCTCGAACTCCTGACCTTTTCAAGGTTTGCCTGTTTTTTAAAGGCTTGCTTTTTTTTTTTTTTTTTTTTTTAGATGGAGTCTCACTCTGTCGTCCAGGCTGGAGTGCAGTGGCGCGATCTTGTCTCAGTGCAACCTCCATCTCCAGGGCTCAAGTGATTTGCCTGCCTCAGGCTCCAGGGTAGCTGGGATTACAGGCATACACCACCACCCCCACTAATTAGGCTTGCTTTTAAGCCTTGTGAGGGCAGCCTTTTATGTACAGCTAATTTGGTCCCATTACAGAAGCAATACTCTTCTTATGATTATGCCCTGTGTATTCTTCCACTCTGATTGATGAGAAAGCAAACAAACTATTCCTGGCCCTGTGTGAGCTTTAGGGATTGTCCCACCTACTCTTTTCTGAGGATTCTTTCTCTGGTTTTCATGGTTTTCTCTTCCATATACATTGATTAATACTTAACCAAAGACTTGGGGTGACCTCTGCAGCTCTCCTGAGCATTGTCTTACCATATAGCTTCCTCTGCTCTGATACTGTACTTCACAAATTTTAGCTGCCTTGGCCTCCCAAACTGAATTCTGTCGCTCAGCTCACCAAGACAGTGGTCTGTTTGGATTCCCCCTCCTGTACTCACTCTAATTTTTGTATTTATAGTAGAGATGGGGTTTCACCATGTTGGCCAGGATAATCTCGATCTCAACCTCATGATCTGCCCACCACGGCCTCACAAAGTGCTGAGATTACAGGGTGAGCCACTGTGCCCAGCCCTCCTATACTCGCTCTTACCAGCTGGTGAGCTGGGGTACTTGATGGACTCGCCTTGCTTTTCTTTTTTCAGGGATTGCTGTTCTCTTCTGCTTGTTGCCTACTGTTTGAAAACTGGATATTTTCATATATTTTATTCAATTTTTAGTTGTTTAAGGCTGGAGGGTAAATTCTATTCCTGTTATCTCATCAAAGCTGGAAGTAGAAATTCCTTCTCTTAGATTTTATCCTACTAGTTCCTTGATATCATCTCAGTTCTTAGGTTCTTTTAAGGATTTTTTAAAAAATATCTTATTCAGCATGTTTAGTTCTTTTGAATGGAAAGTTGATTCAAATAGCTTAGCCTGTCATTACTAGAAGTAGAAATCCTTATTGCCTTTTCAATTAAAAAATAAAATAGAAAAAGATTATATGATATCTTCGTAAAAGTGGGACTGTGGGGCAGGTAGAGGTGGATAATGCTGTGGTTCTTTTGAACAGTCCAAAGGATAAAATAAGGAAGCAGGGCATGTTTTAGGTAGGCCTGTTAGAGTTTCAGACTTGGGGCCAGGTGCGATTGCTCACACCTGTAATCCCAGCACTTAGGGAGGCCAAGGCAGGTGGATCACCTGAGGTCAGGAGTTCGAGACCAGCCTGGCCAACATGGTGAAACCCGATCTCTACCAAAAATACAATAAAATTAGCGGGGCGTAGTGGCACGTGTCTGTAATCCCAGCTACTCGGGAGGCTGAGGCAGGAGAATCGCTTGAACCTGGGAGGCAGAGGTTGCAGTGAGCCGAGATTGTGCCATTGCACTCCAGCTTAGGCAACAATAGCGAAAACTCTGTCACATACACACACAAAAAAGAATTTCAGACTTGGTATGGTTTTGCCTGGTATGGACACTAGATGGTACATTACTAATAGACTAGTAGGTAGGATTCTCATAATAGAAAATAATGAAGTATGTTGAAAGAACTTCACAGTGTCAGAGTGAGATAGTTATGATGGGTTGTTTTGATTTTAACCTAGATATTCTACATTTCCTCATTTCTCTACACCGTCAATTACATCTGGTATTTGTACACAGAGCTGAGGATGAAACACACCCAGAGTGGACAGAGCACATCTCCACTGGTAAGTTTTATTCAGGGCTGATAGTTAATAATAGTATGCTAGGCCGGGTGTGGTGACTCCTACCTGTAATCCCAGCAGTTAGGGAGGCTGAGGGGGGCAGATTGCTTATGCCCAGGAATTCGAGGCCAGTCTGGGCAAGTGGTGAAAGCCCATCTCTACAAAAAATACCAAAAAAATTAGCCGGGCATTGTAGCACATGCCTGGAGTCCTAGCTACTCCGGGGGCTGAAGTGGGAGGATCACTTGAGCCACTGTACCCCAGCCTGGGTGACAGAGACAGACCCTGTCTCAAAAAAAAAAAAGTGTGTAAAAACAATCCCTGTATATCCCTGATAAACGGTGTAAGCATTTAGCACTAGCTAGGTGCATTTATGGAGGTTAATTGAAGAAAAAACGTGTTCCCACTGTTTCCATTCTTTTGACATCACTTCCTCTTCTCCCTTCTCTCTCTCACACACACATACACACACCCACACACACACCCACACACACACACATACACATACAGGTTTGATTATAGGAGTATTATTTACAGTGCTGGCATTCCTGCCTGGTTTGACTCAGCAAGGGAAATTCTTCTTGACTCCATGCCAACCCTGCGAGACCCAGTTCTGTTATTTATCTCCTGTTGTGACCTTAGACATATCATCTCCCTTTCTTGCACCTCCAATTTTTCATTGTAAAATGAAGTGTTGGCCGGGCGCAGTGGCTTATGCCTATAATCTCAGCACTTAGGGAGGCCAAGGCGGGCAGATCACGAGGTCAGGAGATTGACACCATTCGGGCTAACACGGTGAAACTCCATCTCTACTAAAAATACAAAAAATTAGCCAGACGTGGTGGCGGGCGCCTGTAGTCCCAGCTACTCAGGAGGCTGAGGCAGGAGAATGGCATGAACCCGGGAGGCGGAGCTTGCAGTGAGCCGAGATCATGCCACACTGCACTCCAGCCTGGGCGACAGAGAGAGACTCCGTCTCAAAAAAACAAAACAAAACAAAAACAAAAACAAGCAAACAAAATGAAGTGTTAGCCGGGCGTGGTGGCTCACACCTGTAATCCTAGCACTCTGGGAAGCCAAGATGGGTGGATCACCTGAGGTCAGGAGTTTGAGACCAGCCTGACTAATATGGAGAAACCCCGTCTCTACTAAAAATACAAAATTAGCCAGGCATGGTGGCGCATGCCTGTAATCCCAGCTATTTGGGAGGCTGAGGCAGGAGAATTGCTTGAACCCAGGAGGCAGAGGTTGCGGTGAGCCAAGATTGCACCATTGCACTCCAGCCTGGGCAACGAGAGCAAAACTCTGTCTAAAAAAATAAAAATAAAAATAAAATAAAATGAAATGTTAGTCTATGTGATCTTTAATGTCCCTTCCACCCCCAAGATGCTATGATTCTATGAACTCTTCATCTGATTGACTTCTTAAGGAGGTACTCTTCTTACTTTTTTATGTTGTTCTAGACGTTCATGTTTGAAGAAGGGTAGGGGCAGAGAATGCTTTTAAAATTTCTGTCTCTTACTCTTTCTTGCTTTAAGGAGAAAGGACACTGAGGAAATAACTGAAAAAGTAACATGAAGAGGCCCTTAAGCAGTATCCTGAACAAGATATCATTGTCTATATAAGAGCTGTTCAACTTTTTTCAATAATAAAAATATTTAATTCACAGTCTAGTTCAGTAGCTACTAGCTATATGTGGATACCGAAAACTTATAATGTGGCTAGTGTGATTGAGGAATTGAATTTTAAATTTTATTTAATTTTAATTAATTTTAATTTAATTAGCCACATGCAGCTACTATATTGTGCAACACAGGATTATACTCTGGCACCTTTTCTTTAGTTTACCTCTGGGTATTCCATACTAATAATTACTCTTTTTTTTTTTTTTTTGAGATGGAATCTCGCTCTGTCGCCAGGCTGAAGTGCAGTGGCACAAGCTCGGCTCACTGCAGCCTCCGACTCCCTGGTTCAAGCGATTCTTCTGTCTCAGCCCCCCAAGTAGCTAGGATTACAGGCACATGCCACCACACCCAGCTAATTTTTGTATTTATAGTAGAGATGGGGTTTCACCATGTTGGCCAGGATGGTCTCGATCTTCTGACCTCGTGATTTGCCTTCCTCAGCCCCCCAAAGTGCTGGGATTACAGGCATGAGCCAACGCGCCCGGCCTACTCTTCCATATTTTAAACTCGCTTAGTTTCTTAGCTCCCTACAAGTTAGTAAGGACCCGTGGCTATATATCCTTTAGTATTCTGTAACTGAAAGATACTGTAAAGAAATAATTATTCAGTATCTTTCCCTTTAGGTAAATGAATGTCTAAAAAGTCCAGCAGCCTTACAGGGATAGCATTTCAAGTTTTTATTTATTCATTCATTCACTCAAAAGCCAGTAGACTAACTGTAGCTTGTGAGACTTATTCAGCCACAAGTCATTCCCTAAAGAAGTTGCCATGATTAGACCAGAAGCCAAGAATGGAGAAAACATGGGGCAATAATTTTCTGAGGCTTAAGCTCCTGGCAGCAGAACAAAAAAATATTTGAAAGAAAAATGGGAAGGACATAAGATTAGCTCTCAAATATGGTATCCTACTGCTTTCTATGCATACAAATGCATATACTGTACTTCTCTTTATAACCCATACTCTATCACTGGTTTCAAGAAGAAAAGCTTTAGCCGAAGATATATATATATATATACACACATATATATGTGTGTGTGTATATATATATATATATATATACACATATATATGTGTGTATATATATGTGTGTGTGTGTGTGTGTATGTATATATATATATGTGGGGGGCAGGAGATTGAGGCCACAATGAGCTGTGATCATACCACTGCACTCCAGCCTGAGTAACAGAGTGAAACCCTGTCTCAAAAAAATAAAAAGAAAAGAAAACCCAAAGAGGAAAAAGTATTTTATATGTATAGATATATATATATGAAGAAGGGAAAATATACATACATATATATATATATTTTTTGAGACAGAGTCTCACTCTGTTGCCCAGGCTGGAGTGCAGTGGTGCAATCTTGACTCACTGCAACCTCCGCCTCCCAGGTTCAAGCGATCCTCCTGCTTCAGCCTCCTGAGGAGCTGGGACTACAGGTGCATGCCACCACACCCGGCTAATTTTTGTATTTTTAGTAGAGACAGGGTTTTGCCATGTTGGCCAGGCTGGTCTTGAACTCCTGACCTCAGGTGATCCACCCACATCAGCCTCCCAAAGTGCTGGGACTACAGACATAAGCCACCATGCCCAACCATAGCCTAAGATATTAACTCCACTACCTATTAGTCTGCTGTTGTAGTAGCTCCATACACACACACACACACACACACACACACACACACACACACACACACACACACACAGAGCTTTGAAGATACTTTTTCTTCTTTGGGTTTTCTTTTCTTTTTATTTTTTTGATACAAGGTTTCACTCTGTCACTCACGCTGGAGTGCAGTAATATGATCACAGTTCACTGCTGCCTCAATCTCCTGGGCCCAAGTGATCCTCCCGTCTCAGCCTCCCAAGTTGCTGGGACCGCAGATGTGTGCCACCATGCCTGGCTAATTTTTTCTTTTTTTTTTTTTTAATTGTAGTTTTGTAGAGATGGGCGGAGTAGGAGGTCATACTATGTTGCCTAGGCTAGTCTCGAACTCCTGGGCTCAAGTGATCCTTCTGCCTTGGCCTCCCAAAGTGCTGGGATTACAGATGTGAGCCACTGTGTTAGGCCTGAGTTCTCTTTGAAATACTCTAGCAAGACTTCTGCCATAAACTTTTTTTTTTTTTTTTTTTTTGAGACGGATTCTCATTCTGTCACCAGGCTGGAGTGCAGTGGCATGATCTCTGGTCACTGCAACCTCCACCTCCCGGGTTCAAGCAATTCTCTTGCCTCAGCCTCCTGAGTAGCTGGGACTACAGGTGCATGGCACCACACCCAGCTAATTTTTGTATTTTTAGTAGAGACAGGGTTTCACTATGTTGGCCCAGATGGTCTCAATCACTTGACCTCGTGATCCACCTGTCTCGGCCTCCCATGGTGCTAGGATTACAGGCATGAGCCACTGCACCCAGCCAGCAATAAGCTTTTTATCAGAGATTCATTGGTACCCAGGTAAAAATAGGAGTTAAACACTGGATAACCACCTGACAGAGGAAAGAATAAAAAGTGAAGAAGGGAAGTGAGTGGGAGGGGTCACAAAAAACAATTTTATTTATTTTCCTAAAGTCAATGCTAGCTGTCCTATTCCTGCTCCAAACTGTTTGGGGCAAATTAATTACCAATATCTGATTATTGATTAATTACTCACTTAATGCTTATTGATCCCTAACAATGCCATTCCAAATATATGTTTTCTATCTTAAATTAGAAAAAAGCTTATTTTTAATTCTATTATTTCTTTAAGATGTTCTGTTCAAAGTCTTACATCATAAGGTCCTAGAGGGTAGGAAAAACTATTCTGTAAGTTGTTTTACAGTGTCTAACACAAGTCAAGATTTTGAAAATGTTCTATCGTGTAGTGTCTAACAGTCTTATATCCAAAGGGCATATTTGACCCTGCCCTATTATACTAATCCTGGACTATTACACTTTTTACTGGTCGTCTTATAAGAAGGGTTTCATTCCACTCATAAAGTCTGAAGAAGTCCACACATCTCTGGGTCTAAGAGAAAAGAGCTGAACTGTTATTAGAAGATAGAGGGTTACTATATGATTTCATATATGCCTTTCTTTTTAAAAGAATTTGTTTGAGTGCCCAAAGTCCATATTAGGCTACTTCCTGCAGGCTTTCTTTGTGGCTTTGTTGTTGTTGTTGTTGTACTTTTTAGAATATAGTAATAGAGATAAAATTCTATTATATACAGTGCTAATAAGGAACTATCTATTTGATGAATTTTATAGCAAATATTGCTTGACAGAAGCAAACTGGCTTTTGGAAATCTTTTTGTTCTATTGAGTGTTAACTGATGATCTGGTATTTATTATTATATGATTGACAATGTCTTAAGACATTTCTCACATTTATTCTTTTCACAGGTGATAGATTATACTTGTCGAGTTTGTCAAATGGCCTTTGTTTTCTCAAGGTAAAATTTTTTCTTTACTTCTTAGCGAGGTGTAGACTCTCATTATTCTGGTGTTCAGGTGGGAACAAATAGGACAGTGCCCTTTATTTCCATTGTCAGTCCTAAGTCCTCACAGAGCCTAACTTAGAAACAACAAATACGTGTTCATTGCTTCCATTTTTCCACATTGAATAGGGAAGTAGCTTGATGTTATAGATTTGGGTTTTAGCTCCAAATCTACCATCAACTCTATGTAACTAACCTTGAACAAATTTCTTTGAGTCTTTGGATCACTTATTCCTTTTCCTGTATCATAAAGAGTTGTAATAGATGGCCTTCAGGATATCATCTACTTTATAACATTGGGTAAGACTCTTAGGATTACAGAGTCCAGAAAGGGTTTGGATCTCACCTAAAGTGGTGGCCATATCAGAGTTGGTTTTAGACTTTGTGACTTTTGTTCCTGGATCTTTTCCTCTTACAGGGAGCTGGCTATATTTAGCAGGATAAATAGCTGGCTATTTAAAGCTACACTTTGGAAAAGCTCCCAAGAAGGGGCTGATGAGAATGAGATTATCCCTGGTCACCATAGAAAGTAAAACAGACTGCACACAGAACTCCTTAGTAGATTTTCCTTTCACTCTGACTCACTTGCATTTTTATCTGACCATACAGCTACCAGAGATTCTCTGTGAAACTATGGTAGCGTTCATTAGCCTAGGTATAAAATTAATTCCCTACTGCATTGTACTTCCCTAGGAACTGGAAAAGAAGGAATACCTAAGGTATTTGAGGTATTTTTCTTGAAGAAATTAAATGTGTTATTTGTGGAGATTGGTGGGATGATAGAGTTGAGGGAAGAGCAGGAGAATATTCTTCAAAGGAGGAAGGGCATGAAAAAGAGTGGATATTAGGGTGATACTTTTTTTCCCTCCCAGCCTGATACCTCTGCTATTGATGACACCTGTATTCTGTCTGGGAAATACTAGTGAATGTTTCCAAAACTTCAGTCAGAGCCACAAGTAAGTAAGAACTAAATGTATAATTTTCATGGCAGACTACACCTATTTGTTTCTATAAATAGAGCTGGAAAAAGACTTTCCACATAATTCTGACCAAAGTGCTAATATTAGAAATGGGCTAAGGAACAAGATGTAGTAAAGGCTGAAAATATATAAGTAAAAGTGTAACACAAAATGACTACAAGATAATGTGTCTGTGGGGGAGAGACAAGGTTTTATGAGCAAGAGTTAGCAAAATGATAAGTAAAATAACATGCTTATTAAGTCTTGTTGAGCAGCTCTTTTCTTACATCTGTAGTAGTACTCCTGTTTATTGATTTTCTTCCTAGGTGTATCTTGATGCACTCACCACCATCAGCCATGGCTGAACTTCCACCTTCTGCCAACACATCTGTCTGTAGCACACTTTATTTTTATGGTATCGCCATTTTCCTGGGCAGCTTTGTACTCAGCCTCCTTACCATTATGGTATGGTACCACCCTACCTTCCTTTGTGGAGAGATGAGGAAATGAAGGGGATGGGCCAGTATTCCCAGGACCTGGGAAAGATGGGGCAGAGAGGCACTTCTTGTGGTCCTAGAACTAAGAAAGTAGCTAGGAGATCTTGACAATATAATTACTGCCTCAGACTTTTGCACTTCCCCAAATCAAATGATAAGAGAGAGAAAAGAGCTTGTATTTATTAGGTGAAAATTATGCTCACTCTACAACTAGTATAGGCTTCATCAATCCCCTATGGCCAGAAAACTCATATGTGCCAAATATATCCTTTACATAGTTAGGATGACACTCTGAAACATAGAACATATGCTTTGATTTAATTTTCCAAATAATAAAATAATTTTCTTTTTTAAATTCTACATTTGGCCATAAATTTGCATTTATGCTATGTCTAACTGGGGCTAAAGTGCTAAGTGGCTCATGAAGTTTTCAGATACTCATTTGATATCATCAGGATGATATACAATTAGAATAATTAGCCAGGGGATAGTAAGTTACATAACTGCCTCATACAAAAGCAGTAAATGAGCAAATATGCCTTTGTATTTCCCATATCTATTTTTCAGTATCATTTTCTCCTCTTTTTATATTTCAGTTCAAGAATTACAAGGTATCTACCTGCAGATCAAATGTGTCCCACTAGCACCTGTGAACTAGATACAGTTATGGGGAATTTCCTTTGGCAATTCAAACATAAGTTATAGAGATGGCTTGGTTTGCCTGGGCACAATGGCTCATACCTGTAATCCCAGCACTTTGAGAGGCCAAGGCGGGTAGATCACTTGAGGCCAGGAATTCGAAACTAGTCTGGCCAACATGGCTAAACCCCGTCTCTACTAAAAATACAAAAATTAGCCAGGCATGGTGGCATGTGCATATAGTCCCAGCTACTCAGGAGGCAGAGGCATGAGAATCGCTTGAACCCAGGAGACAGAGGTCACAGTAAGCTGAGATCGTGCCCCTCCAGCCTGGGCAACAGAGGATACTCTGTCTCAAAACACACACACACACACACACACACACACACACACACACACACACACACGAGATGGCTCAGTTCAAATCAACAGGTTGTAAAGAGTACACAATAACTAGTTCATATTAAAATGGGTTTGATGGTTTACGTTTGGAACTGACTAACAAGAGAGACAGGTCCCAAATCCTGGCACCCTGAGGATTCCTGATTGCTTCTTTAGAATAGCCCAGGTTTCAGTGTATATTCAGAATTAGCATTCTAGATTCTTTAAAAATCAGCAGATGGCGGCCGGGCATGGTGGCTCATGCCTGTAATCCTAGCACTTTGGGAGGCCGAGACAGGCAGATTGCCTGAGCTCAGGAGTTTGAGACCAGCCTGGGCAACACAGTGAAACCCTATCTCTACTAAAATACAAAAAAAATTAGCCGGGCATGGCGGCATGCACCTGTAGTCCCAGCTGCTTGGGAGGCTGAGGCAGGAGAATTGCTTGAACCCGGGAGGCGGAGGTTGCAGTGAGCTGAGATCGTGCCACTGCACTCCAGCCCGGGCAACAGAGCAAGACTCCATCTCTAAAAAAATAAATAAATCAACAGATGGTGAACTGATTCTTTTAGACGTTAAGTTTTCTCAAACTCAAGTCTCCTTTTGATGCTTATGTAGGGAAAAGAGACTATGTACATGGCTGAACTTGATTAAGTAATGAGGTTATTAATTTAGAGAGTAGATCTGGATTAGGGAAAAGATTCAGATTTGTTACCAAGAGTGTTATCTAATTTAATTTTTGCAAAAAAACACATTGGACTTTTGAACTGATTTATATTTGTTTCATGAGCTAAACCTTATTCAGACAGCTGACAATAGGGAAAAAGCAATTTGTTTTCCATCTAAAGGCAAGAAGTGACTTTCTTTCTTTCTTTTTTTTTTTTGAGACGGTGTCTCGGTCTGTTGCCCAGGCTGGAGTGCAATGGCGCATCTCAGCTCACTACAACCTCTGCCTCCCAGGTTCAAGCAATTCTCCTGCCTCAGCCTCCTGAGTAGCTGGAATTAAAGGCACATGCCACCACGACTGGCTAATTTTTGTATTTTTAGTAGACACAGGTTTCACCATGCTGGTCAGGCTGTCTTGAACTCCTGACCTCGTGATCTGCCTGCCTCAGCCTCCCAAAGTGTTGGGATTATAGGCGTGAGCCACCGCACCGGGTGCAAAGTGACTTTCTAAAACTTCTGTTGCTTAGAGTTGAGAATTTAAGCTCAGCCATGGTGCTGAAGTGTTAAGCATAGAACACTTTCTAACAAAATCTCTAATAAAGTGTTTTAAGAGGAACTAGTTAGAGCTTACTTTTAACTTCCTGGGTAAACTGTGATTAGCCTCAGTGGGGGGAAATGCCCAGAGGTTGATGTAAGGTTCATGTGTTAAACGTGATACACAAGTTTGGCTAGTTACCTGTCCATTTCCCTAGCCTAGTAAAAGTTCACTCTGAAGGTAATTTTCTCTTAAAAAAAAGCCTGATCTCAGAAAGTAAAGACAAGAGAATGGGGTCGTTCCTGTTGTGAGATTCTAAGAGAATAATCTTTTTAAAATGATAGGAGGATAGACCTGGGGCATTTTACTAAGCTTTAAGCAAACTGCTCACTGCTGTACTCATATTTAGGTCTTACTTATCCGAGCCCAGACATTGTATAAGAAGTTTGTGAAGTCAACTGGCTTTCTGGGGAGTGAACAGTGGGCAGTGATTCACATTGTGGACCAACGGGTGCGCTTCTACCCAGTGGCCTTCTTTTGCTGCTGGGGCCCAGGTAGGTACTTAACAAGAAGAGATGGGCAGTGAAGAGGGCAGTTATTAGGTTCTGATCAAGCAAAGTGGTCTCACTAAGAAGGATGGCTGAGGTCGGGCACAGTGGCTCACACCTGTAATCCCAGCACTTTGGGAGGCTGAGGCAGGTGGATCACGAGGTCAGGAGATCGAGACCATCCTGGCTAACACAGTGAAACCCCGTCTCTACTAAAAATACAAAAAAAAAAAAAATTAGCCGGGCGTGGTGGTAGGCGCCTATAGTCCCAGCTACTTGGGAGGCTGAGGCAGGAGAATGGTGTGAACCTGGGAGGTGGAGCTTGCAGTGAGCCAAGATTGCACCACTGCACTCCAGCCTGGGTGACAGGGCGAGACTCCATCTCAAAAAAAAAAAAAAAAAGAAGGATGGCTGCAAATTCCTATTCAGTTTATAAAATTTGTATGGGCCCTACCCATATTTCCAGTTTTTACTACCCTCCTTAACTCCTTTTGCTTCTTATGTTTTAGAAATTGAGATAATTAGACATGAGATGCACCATGATATAAGAGGAGAAAACATTGTGACAGACTTGGAGATATTAACACCTGCCCTTCCTACTACATAAGGTTATAGTGAGGATCAGGTTAGATAATTTTTTTTTTTTTTTTTGAGACAGAGTCTCACTCTGTTGCCCAGGCTGGAGTGCAGTGGTGCAATCTCAGCTCACTACAACCTCTGCCTCCCAGGTTCAAGCAATTCTCCTGCCTCAGCCTCCCGAGTAGCTGGGATTACAGGCGCATGCCACCATGCCCAGCTAATTTTTGTATTTTTAATAGAGACAGGGTTTCGCCATGTTGGCCAGGCTGGTCTCAACCTCCTGACCTCAGGTGATCTGCCCACCTTGGCCTCCCAAAGTGCTGGGATTGTAGGCATGAGCCACTGCGCCCGCCCAGATTGGATAATTTTTATGAAAGAGCTTGGGAAAATCTGAATTGATAGGAAGTATAAATTATTACCTTCCTGTAGTATATCCTGCTACCATTACTACACTAATAATCTACAAAGTTTCATCAGTAAAGACTAGAAGTTGGAGGCCTAAGACTCATTGGTTTGCATAACAAGTTAACGTCACTGATGGATTTTATTATGCCTATTGTTTCCATTCTGATAATGCTCAGACGTGTGTGGAGGAACCTGATACTTCAGACAGTCAGGGCTGACAAGAAGGTTTACACTTTGTGTATTCACAGCTGTCATTCTAATGATCATAAAGCTGACTAAGCCACAGGACACCAAGCTTCACATGGCCCTTTATGTTCTCCAGGTAACACCTTCAACATTCAGTATCTCTGTTCTTACACCCGCTTATCCTATTTTCTTATACTACCTTTACTCGGTAAGGATGATTTTTTCCCTCCGGGTACTTCTACATTGCAAAAGAGAAAATGTATTATTTACACTCAGTTATGAAGAATGTGAAAATTTTCTCAAAGTCGAGGTAGATAATGTTGTAAAAGTACCTCCATGCATTCCAGAGCGTATATATCTCTGGTCAACTTCATTTTACTGATGTGTTTTTAAGGAATGGGCAGCAAAAATAAACAAGATCTGCCAGGTATGTTCTTATGAAACATTGATAGTGACATGGTTCTCTCCCATCCAGAGTAAACTGAATGGGATAAATGAGCTATTCTTGGTGAATGGTGAGGAGGGGATGGAATGATCATCTCTCTTTTTTTTCTTTATTGGATTTAAGAAGATTTTTGGGCTATCTGACTATTCCGATGAGACAGTTTTCTCAAGGGTACCCTGGAAAATGAGGCAATAAGGGGGGGCACTGAAGCTATTTCATTGTCCCTATGTATATACTAAGAAGTATGACCAACTCTCAGTCATCCGTAACAGTGTAGTGTAGACAGTGAGTTCAGGATGAACTAGAAAAATATAAAAAACTGATGTCAGATCTTCATGTTTGAGATAGAGAAAATATAACAATGCTTTATGAATAAGGGGAGTGAGAATTATTCCCTGGATCCCTGAAAACCTGAAGCATGGGCTGCATCACCCCTTCATCTCCTCCAGGCTCTAACGGCAACATCTCAGGGTCTACTCAACTGTGGAGTATATGGCTGGACGCAGCACAAATTCCACCAACTAAAGCAGGAGGCTCGGCGTGATGCAGATACCCAGACACCATTATTATGCTCACAGAAGAGATTCTATAGCAGGGGCTTAAATTCACTGGAATCCACCCTGACTTTTCCTGCCAGTACTTCTACCATTTTTTGAAACTACAATACTGGAACATCCAGGAACTGGAGTTATTCTACGCTAATGGATTGGAAAGAATGTTGGGAAAGGACATCTTAAATCTTTTCTAACTATGCCCTAAACTGCAGAACTCAAAGGAAATATAGTGCCATTGTTAGTAGTCATTCTAGATGAATTGGGAGTATCTCTCCAGTTATTCCCAGATTCACTAGTGATCCTTAAAGTCTCTATTCAGGGAGAGGAAGACACTTTCCATCTCAGAGATAGACTCGTGTTACCTTGATGGATATTGGATTTGTCTAAGTCTCTTCTAGAAAAAATAAATTCTAGATTATTATTTATATGTGTCATTTCAAAGCTGTCTACTCCATGGTTGCAGGGGAAGTGGGGGCAGGGGGCATGCAACAACTTGCTCAGGTCTTGCCATTGCTATTACTGTCTCTAAAGTTGAACACAGAAAATCCTGGGTTTCCATTCTATGAAGAGTTTTGGAAACTCATAGGAAACAAGGAGAACTACTATCAAAAAAGTGACAGTGGGACCTTTAGACACACCACATCTTAGTCTCATATGTTCAGTTCTGTTCTAGGACTTGAACAATAGGGATCACCCCACTCTAGAATACTAAGACTAATCTTTTGAAGTCACAGGGACAATAAGATTTAAGAGAAATAGAGACTAAAAAAAACCTCTAGTAATCAATAACTGTTAACTTGCATTTACAAGCAGAAGTACAAGGTTGGTTTCATTGTGTTCATTTATCAAAGTATAAAGTTAGATTGAACAGTATGAACAACTTGCCATTTTTATAGGTGAAAATGGTCTAATGTCATCAATTTCACATAGTTCAGCCTAATAGTAAGTGTTAAATATATGTTTATAGGATAAATGAGTGAACAAGCAAATTAGTGACTTATAAGTAAAATTTAAATCTTTTGGGAAAGAAAAGATTCTCGGACTGCAGAGCTTCATTCAGGGGTGGGAATATCTATCTAATCTGTTAATTCCTCTTGAATCATGTAACAGTGATATTTGGTCTCTCCAGCTAAGTTATGAACAAGGCCAATCTGAGGCCAGAGCATCATATACTATGATGCCAAAACAAAGGGAAAGCCAAATGGACAAGGTGACTGGAATGATAATTAATCAAAACATCTAGACCTAATAATCTGATGATCACAAAAGCAGCCTTATTCTCACTTGATACATTATCTTGGTATGTCCAAGGCAAAATCTTTAAGATTAGAGAAATTGATTGAGAGGATTATAACGGAAGATTAGACAGGATGTTCTGAAAAGTAAGTTACAGAGATTTTTCCAAAAGAGCTCTCTATAGAAATGTCAGGGAGCTCAATGATAGCTCTTTCGGTTTTAGACCATGAGCTTCATGGAAGTTATGGAGGGTAACCTGGCCTTATTCTGTCAAGATCATATATTGAAGCTTCTCATTGTCCCCAAAATCCTGAGACCTGATTTCATGATAGCACAGAACAAAAAAAGACTGCCTCACCTAGAAAGCTGCGTTAACTTCTTTTAATTTAAAAACTAATAAGCAGTCAGCATATAGAAAAATAGATGGAAGCAAGAAAGAGTTCCTATATCCATAGTCCCTGAGGGACACCAGAACCAAGAAGTCCAGTTCTTTTTTTTTTTTTTTTGAGACAGTCTTGCTCTGTCGCCCAGGGAAGAGTGTGTTGGCATGATCTCGGCTCACTGCAACCTCCCCGTCCCGGGTTCAAGCGATTCTCCTGCCTCAGCCTCCCAAGTAGCTGGGATTACAGGAGCCCACCACCACACCTGGCTAATTTGTGTAGTTTTTCAGTAGAGACGGGGTTTTATCATGTTGGTCAGGCTAGTCTCGAACTCCTGACCTCAGGTGATCCACCCGCCTTGGCCTCCCAAAGTGCTGGGATTACAGGCATGAGCCACTGCGCCCCACCAGAAGTCCATTTCTTTCTTTCTCTTTCTTTCCTTCCTTCCTTCCTTCCTTCCTTCCTTCCTTCTTTCTTTCCTTTCTTTCCTTTCTTTCTTTCCTTTCTTTCCTTTCTTTCTTTCCTTTCTTTCCTTTCTTTTCTTTCTTTCCTTCCTTCCTTCCTTCCTTCCTTCCTTCCTTCCTTCCTTCCTTCCTTCCTTCCTTCCTTCCTTCTTTCTTTCTTTCTTTCCTCTTCTTTCTTTTTGATACAGAGTTTCACTCTTGTTGCCCAGGCTGGAGTGTAATGTCATGATCTCGGCTCACTGCAACCTCTACCTCCCAGGTTCAAGCGATTCTCCTGCCTCAGCCTCCCGCGTAGCTGAGATTACAGGCACATGCCAGCATGCTCAGCTAATTTTTGTATTTTTAGTGGAGACGAGGTTTCACCATGTTGGTCAGACTGGTCTTGAACTCCTGACCTCAGGTGATCCACCCACCTCGGCCTCCCAAAGTGCTGGGATTACAGGCGTAAGCCACCACACCTGGCCAGAAGTCCATTTCTTAAAAGGTCCTTTCAGTATCACTTCATATTTGGCCTTATTACCAGAAAGAAGGTAATTATCAAATATTTTTCAGGTTTGTTTATCTTGCTGTTCCAGTGATGTATGACAATTTCTTAGATCATGCGTGGATGTAAGCAAACAAAAAGATAGTAGGAATGAGAAATAATAAGCGGCTAGATAAGACTTGAATTAGGATTATCAGCTTTTTGTCATACTGAGAGTCAGAGGGGATATGTGGAGCTGGGCCACTGTTAGACTACCTCCTAACCCTTAAATTCTCATGTAGGAGGGGCATAGTTGTAGACAAGTGCTAGTTCTTAAAATTGTTGCAAACAACCCTCCCATGACACTTGTCCAGGTTGCAGTCATAGTGGAGTACAGTGGTATCTAAGCAGGAATGATTGATACAGATCTTTTGTGGACCATATGGACTATCTTTTACCTCCCCCTCGTCAGCCCTGTTTATACTCCAACACTACATGTCCTGCATGGGAAAATGGGTGTTTGATGTTTTTCAGTTTATGGGATCTTTAGATGTTTTCACATAGCAGTCTCTCACATCTTACATATTTGGCCTTGTAGTTCCTGAAGACTTTAAACAATCCTTTAGACTCACTGCCAGTTTCCAAACCTATCCCCCTTGGTAATGATAATTTTTCCAAGCAGCTCATTTGCCCTTTCCAGAGATTTTAATGCACTGATTCTCTAGGCTTCTGCACTGGCCCTGGTAACAATAACCTTGTTCTTTGCAAGGGATACCATCTTCCTTGTATATATCTGTGTGGCACCACTCGGAGGTGCCATTAAAGTACTCTCAGAGGTCATATTCACCTCCACTGAGGCAGCAGGGTGTGGTTGCTCTTGGAAATTTGCAGTGTCTGCTACAGAATCCAAATGCACAATCTGAACCCTTCTTCAGCTATTGTGAGGGCAGACAACAGTGATCCCTTTCACAATCAATGAGAGGGATTCTTTCACAATCAAAGAATGCCACACTTGCATTCTTCTCCTTCATCACTATCTTGTCCCCACAATATGGCTTTCCAAAGGAGATTTGGTGCTCAAGTTTATTAAACAGTCTTCTCTGTGCCTATGCAAAAACTAATGGAATCAGTGGAAGCTTCAGTTGCTGAAGCCCATATCTATAGTAATAAATTTATGCATAATACAAAGGTTCTGGCCATGACACTTGTAGGCCATATAGTCATGTTTCATATCCAAGCTGTGGCCAAGCTCATGAGCTATGAGAGCTGCAAAGTGGGGTATATCTTCATGAAAGAAAGATTCAACACTCATTGTATTCTTAGCTCTACAGATACAACTGAGAAATGCATAGCCCTGGTACTTTCCAGGATTTTGACCAATGGTCCAAATATGAGCAACAACATGTTTCACCTTTCTGAAGGGGTGCCAGCTGGTCTCTCCGCAGTTAAAATTTTGAAACATTTTCTGCAGATTCAGGGGCATTTGCACTAGCCTTCTCTCTGTCCGTATCTCCAACTAGTCCATATATCTAACCAGTAAGTATTATTTAGCTCCTTATTGTATCACTTGGCCAGCGTGTGAACATCTGTTACCATCTGTGTAATGTTGGTCACATTATATTATTCCACATTTGTAACCACTTATTGTCAACCACAATAAACATTTCTACATATTTGGGAAACAACCATATATGGGGCATGTGGTCTGGGCTCTATTCTGCTCTGAATCCTGATTTCAAGATATGCTGTAAACCATATGTTCAAATTTGTTTGAGGTATGTTGGTCAGGCTGGTCTTGAACTCCTGACCTCAGGTGATCTACCCGCCTCGGCCTCCCAAAGTGCTGGGATTACAGGCATGAGCCACTGCACCCGACCCGAAGTCCAGTTCTTAAAAGGTCCTTTTAAGTGCTGATAGTCACCAAAGAATCTAGGTCACTGTTGACTCTACATTATAGTAACAGTGATCCTGTATAAAAGGCATGCCCAAGCTCTATTTCCCATTTTAATGTGTACAGATAGGGAAGTTTTTTATTAACAATCCTTAATTTTGCTTCAAATTTAATAATATTCCATTTTCTCATATTAAGACATAGGCCACCTTTTCTCCTTTTTCTTCTAGTCCTCTGAATATCATCAAGTTTCTAGGATGACTATTTTATAATAAAGATATTTCCCCCATTCTCAAAACCCCATGTAGGGATTCCTGGATGAAAAATATTTCCAAGGCTAGGTGTGGTGACTCACACCTACAATTCCAGCACTTCAGGAGGCTGAGGTGGATAGATTACTTGAGGCCAGGAGTTTGAGACCAGCTTGGGAAACATAACAAGACCCTGTCTCTACAAAAATTTAAAAAATTAGCCAGGCGTGGTGGCATGTACCTGTAGTCCTAGCTACTCAAGGAGGCTGACGCAGGAGGATCACTGGAGCATAGGAGTTTGAGGTTACAGTGAGCTATGATTGTACTATTGCATTCCAGCCTGCATGGCCTGGGTGCCAGAGTGAGACCCTGTTTCTAAATAAATAAAATAAGATAAAATGCAAATCATTCCAAACCTTACCTATGACCGCTTGATTTCACAGAAGAAGGATCAAGAGGGAGGCAAAGTAATTAATTAGGGATGTCATTGTCATGGCCCAAGTGAAACAGCCAATAATCCTGAACCTCTGTATCTCAGTTGTTTTTCCTAGACCCAGACCTTTGTCAGTGATGTAGTTGTTTGGTTAAAGCTCAAAGCTATGCTGCCTGCCAGAAGGATAGCTGTTCCCACCTGACTATTACATGATGACACCTGCCTTTTGATCATGTTTATTCCTACTCCTCTCTCTCTTCATGAGTGTCCTTACTTTGCAACCTGCCTCAACATTTTAGTGTTCCTTAGCTGAACTCCTGCTGTTGTTTTTGTTTGTTTGTTTTTTGAGACGGAGTCTCGCTCTGTCGCCCAGGCTGGAGAGCAATGGCGCAATCTCAGCTCATTGCAACCTCCGCCTCCTGGGTTCCAGCAATTCCCCCTGCCTCAGCCTCTTGAATAGCTGGTATTTCAGGCACCCGCTACCACGCCCGGCTAATTTTTGTATTTTTAGTAGAGACGGGGTTTCGCCATGTTGGCCAGGCTGGTCTTGAACTCCTGACCTCAGATGATCTGCCCGCCTCGGCCTCCCAAAGTGTAGGGATTACAGGCGTGAACCACCATGCCCTGCCTTCTGCTGTTTTCATGGAAGAATATACCAAGGAGAGGAAGATTTCAGAGGTCCAGCAAGTTCCATGACCCAGGATCAGGCCTCAAGAAAAGGAAAAAAAAATAACCTTTTCCTGTCAGTTGTAGTGCCCATGAAACAGCTTCTACCACCTCTCCTGGCATGTGTTATTCTTTTGGCTCATTGAAACTAAAGGTTCCAGAGCAGGCCTTTGTGGGTCTCTGGATAGGTCACAGGCCTCTGCTGTCCAGTGCCTCTTGCACCATTCTCTACTCTGTACCACACAGCCCATTTCAAACCCCCAAACCTTTTCTGCCTCCGAAAGAGTTTGTGGGCATGGTCTTTGACCTACCACTTTGTTGTCCTAAGAATCTCTTCTGCATGGACATTTACCTCATTTAAATAGACTGATTTTGATCCTTGCTCTAAAATTCCCTCTGTATCTGAGATATGGGCACTTCCCTATTTGATATGATATATGTCCATTAGCATAAGGGGAATCAGCTATGAGATCCTGAGTATAAAACACCAGGGATCGGCTTGGAAAAAAAAAAAAAAACCCAGCAAGTCCTGGAAGGAAGTATGAGTAGACCTTTCCTGTAATACATAAGTAGCATGGAAAGGAAAAAGAGATTAGAGCGCCAAGTTGTTTTAAATGTTCCAGGGTCTAGGGAATAAATCTCTCAGATGTACTCATATCTAGGGCATCAGATGGGGTTTCACCATGTTGCTCTTTGAGACAGAGTGATACTCTGTCTCGAAAAAAAAAAAAGAAAAGATAAATTCAGCTGATATTACAGTGTTCCCATGTACCTCGTCTACCTCCACACAGGATTTCTCCATTAGCATCTTTAATTAGTATGGTATGTTTGTTACAATTGATGAGCCAATACTGATACATTATTATAAACTAAAGTCCATAGTTTACATTAGGGCTCATTTTTTGTGTTATATAGTTGTATGAGTTTTGACAAATGTATAATGTCATGTAGCCACCATTGCCATGTTGTACAGAACAGTTTCACTGCCCTAAAAATCCCTTGTGTTCCACCTATTTATCTCTCCCTCTTTCTCTCCAAACCCCTGGCAACCACTGATCTTTTTGCTTTCTCTATAGTTTTGTGTTTTCCAAGTGACATATATTTAGCATACAGTATGTAACCTTTTCAGACTGTTCTTTTACTTTACAATATCCATGTAAGATTCCTCTATGTCTTTTTGTGACCTTATAGATCATTTCTTTTCATCACTGAATTATATTTCACTCTGGATGTACCACAGTATGTTTATTCACTCACTTATGAAGGCAAATCTTGCCAATTGAAGGACATTTTCCTGTGTTTGGCCATTATGAATAAAGCTGCTATCAGCATTTGTATACAGGTTTTGTGTGTACATAAGTTTTTGAGTAAATACCTAGGTGCATGATTGCTGGATCATATGGTAAGCCCATATGTAACATTGTAAGAAACTGCCAAACTATCTTCCAAAGTGGCTATACCATTGTTCAGTGGATTACAGTTCCTGATGCTCCACATTCTAGCTAGCTTTTGGTATTGTCAGTGTTTTGTGTTTTTATTGGGGTTTTTTTGTTGTTGTTCGTCTGTTTGTTTTTTGAGACAGAGTCTCGCTCTGTCACCCAGGCTGGAGTGCAGTGCACAATCTTGGCTCACTGCAACCTCTGCCTCCCTGGTTCAAGTGATTCTCCTGCCTCAGCCTCCCGAGTAGCTGGGACTACAGTCATGTGCTACCATGCCTGGCTAATTTTTTGTATTTTTAGTAGAGACGTGGTTTCGCCATGTTAGCCAGGATGATCTCAATCTCATGACCTCCTGATCTGCCCGCCTCGGCCTCCCAAAGTGCTGGGATTACAGATGTGAGCCACTGCACCTGGCCTCGTTTTGCAATTCCCTAATGTCATATGATATTGAGAATCTTTTTATGTGCTTATTTGCCATCTGCATATCTTTGGTAAGGTGTCTGGTCAGATCTTTTGCCCCTTTTTAAATTGGATTATTTTCTTTTTGAGTTTTAAGAGTTCTTTGTATATTTAGGTACAAATCTTTTATCATATATGTATTTTTGAAATATTTTCTCTCAGTCTATTGCTTGTCCTTTCATTCTCTTAACAGTGTCTTTGACAGAGCAGATTTTTAAAATGTTATTGAAGTCCAACTTATCATTTTTTTCTTTCATGGATCATGCTTTTTTGGTATTGTCTCTAAGAAGTCATCATTGGCCGGGCACCATGGCTCACGCCTGTAATCCCTGCACTTTGGGAAGCTGAGGCAGGTGTATTGCTTGCGCTCAGGAGTTCAAGACCAGCCTGGGCAACATGGCAAAAGCCCATCTCTACCAAAAATACAAAAAAATTAGCTGGGTGTGGTGGTGAGCACTTGTGGTCCCAGCTACTCAGGAGGCTGAGGTGGGAGGATCGCTTGAGCCTGGGAGGCAGAGGTTGTTGTAGTGAGCCAAAATGGCACCACTGTACTACAGCCTGGAAGTTGTACAGCTTTGCGTTTTACATTTTAGTATATGATTAATTCCGAGTTAATTTTTATGTAAGGAGTAAGTTCTGTGTCTAGATTCCTTTTTTTTTTTTTTTTTGTAATGTGGATGTCTAATTGTTGCAGCACCATTTGTTGAAAAGGCTATATTTTCTCCATTGAATTTCCTTTGCTCCTTTGTCAGCAATCAGTTGATTGACTGTATTTTTGTGAGTCTGTTCCTGGATTCTCTATTCTATTTTATTGATCCATTTGTCCACTCTTACACCAAGATCACACTGTCTTAATTACTATAACCTTATAGTAAATTTTGAAGTCAGATTGTGTCAGTCCTTCAACTTTGTGCTTCTTCAGTATTGTGTTGGTTTGTGATTTCCATGTAAACTTTAGATTCAGTTTGTATTCGCAAAATAATTTGCTGGGCTTTAGATTGGGATTGTCTTGAATCTGTAGATCAAGTTGGGAAGAACTAACATGTTAACAATATTGAGTCTTCCTATCCATAAACAGGAAATATGTCTCCATGTATTTAGACCTCCTTTGATTTCTTTCAGCAGGGTTTTGCAGTTTTCCTCATATAGGTCTTGCACATATTTCATTAGACTTATATCTAAGTACTTCTCCCTTTGGAGGTTCTAATGTAAATGGCATTATGGTTACAATTTCAAATTCCACTTGTTTATTGCTAGCATGTAGGAAAGTGATTGATTTTTTATATTAACTTTGTAACCTGTAACCTTGCTGTAATCACATCTTAGTTCCAGAAGGGTGGTTCGTTTTTTGTTTTTGCCTATTCTTTGGGATTTTTCTACATAGATAATTGTGTCATCTGTAGGCAAAGACAGTTTTGTTTCTTCAATCTCAACCTGTTTGCCTTTTATTTCCTTTTTATTGTTTTATGGTGTTAACTAGGACTTCCAGTACGAAGTTGAATAGAAGTGTTGAAAGGGTCATCCTTACTTACCTTATTCCCAATCTTAGTAGGAATGCATGCAGTTTCTCACCATTAAGTATAATGTTAGCTATAGGTTTTTTGTAGGTAGATTTTTTTATCAAGTTGATTTTTTTTTTAAATCAAGCTCCCCTCTATTCCTAGTTTGCTGAGAGGCTTTATTATGAATATGTGTCGATTTTGTCAAATTCTTTTTCTGCATCTACTGGTATTATTATATGATTTTTCTTCTTTAGTCCATTGACATAATGGATTATTTTAATTGATTTTTGAATGCTGAACCAGCCTTGTATACCTGCAATAAATCGCACTTGGTTGTGGTGTATAATTCTTTATACACATTGGTTCAATTTGCTAATATTTTGTTGACAATTTTTTCATCTGTGTTCATAAAAGATACGGTCTGTCGTTTTGCTTTGATTGTCTTCATCTGGTTTTAGTATTAGGGTAATGCTGGCTTCATAGAATGATTTAGGAAATGTTCTCTCAGCTACTGTTTTCTGGAAGAGATTGTAACTAATTGGTATTGCTTCTTTCTTTTTCCCTTTTTTCTTTTCTTTTTTTTTTTTTTTTTGAGATGGAGTCTCACTCTGTTGCTCAGACTGGAGTGCAGTGGCGTGATGTAGATTCACTGCAACCTCTGCCGCCCAGGTTCAAGCAATTCTCCTGCCTCAGCCTACCAAGTAGCTGGGATTACAGGCGCCTGCCATGGCGCCCAGCTAATTTTTGTATTTTTAGTAGAGACAGGGTTTCACCATCTTGGCCAGGCTGGTCTTGAACTCCTGATCTTGTGAGCCACCTGCCTCAGCTTCCCAAAGTGCTAAGATTACAGGTGTGAGCCACTGCGCCCAGCCAGTATCGCTTCTTTCTTAAATGTTTGGTGGAATTTACCAGTGATCCCCCATCTAGGCCTGGTGCTTTCCTCTTTGAAAAGTTACTAATTATTGATTCAATTTTTAAATAGATACAGGCTACACTAAGATGATGTGTTTCTTTTCGTATGGGCTTTAACAGATTGTGTCCTTCTAGGAATTGGTCCATTTCATCTCTTATCAAATTTGTGAGCATGGAAGTATTCCTAATATTTATTATTCTTTTAATGTTTATGGGATCAGTAGTGATGGGCCCCTCTTTCATTTCTGATATTAGCAATTTATGTCTTTTCTAGTTTTTTCTTGGTTACTTTGCCTAGAGGTTTATCAATTATATTGATTTTTCCCAAAGAAACACATTGGTTTCATTCCTTTTCTCAATAGATTTCTTATTTTCAGTTTTATTTATTTCAGTTTTTATTTTTGTATCTCTTTTCTTCTGTTTGCTTTAGGCTTACATTGCTTTTCTTTCTCTCGTTTCCTAAATTGAAGCTAAGATTATTGATTTTAGATGTTCTTTCCTAATATATTCATTAAGTGCTATAAATTTCATTGAAGTATTGCTTTCACTGCATCCCACAAAATTTTGACAAGTTGCATTTCATTTTAATTTAGTTCAAAATATTTTAAAATTTCTCTTGAGACTGCTTTGACCCATATGTTATTTATTTATTTATTATTTTTGAGATGGTCTTACGCTGTTGCTCAGGCTGGAGTGATCCTGCTGCCTCAGCCTCTCGAGTAGCTGGGACCACAGGTGCACACCATCAGCTAATTTTTAATTTTTTGAAGAGATGGGGTCTCCCTGTGTTGCCCAGGCTTGTCTTGAACTTCTGGGCTCAAGCAATCCATCCCTTTGGCCTCCCAAAGTGCTGGGATTACAGGCATGAGCCACCATGCCCGGCTGACCCATGTGTTACTTAGAAGTGTGTTGTTTCATCTCTAGATATTTTAGGATTTTCCAGCTATCTCTCTTACTGACTTCTAGTATAATTACATTTTTAAGAAATCTATTTTTTATTTTTTAAATTGAAATAAAAATATAGATCTGATTTACCATCTTTACTATTTTTAAGTGTACAGTTAATAAATACTCTATATATTTTTTCAAAAATAATTTCATTGTGGTCCAGGAGCATACTTTGTTTGATTTCTATTTTTAAAATTTTGCTAAACTATGTTTTATGGCCCAGAATGTGGTCTTAGGGAATGTATCATATGAGCTTGAGAAGAATGTGTATTCTGCTTTTGGTGAATGAAGTGTTCCATAAATATCTTCAATTCTCAGCTACCTTCCATGTCTTCTTAGTGGAGGTAGGAGTAGATATAACATTTTTTGTTTTTTTGTGTGTGGTGATGAGGTTTCACCAAGTTGCCCAGGCTGGCTTAAACTCCTGGGCTCAAGAGATCCGCCTGCCTCAGCCTCCCAAAGTGCTAGGACTACAGGAGTGAGCCACCACTCCTGGCTGGGTATAACTTTTTAATAAATTATCCACTGCTTTCAACATAAACCACTTCTATATCCAATTCCCAAATCTATCTTGGAATTTTTATAGCTCTTCTAACAGGGTTTTAACTCTAAGGGAGCAAGCCTTTACACCAATGTCAAAATTACCTCACTGTCCTATCTGAATATTCTCCAAGGTTCTTCCTCCTTCCTTTACCCAGAGAGGATTTTTATTTCTTTTTTTTTTTTAAATAATGAATAAACTGGTCTTTTTTCCTCTGTGCCTTATAGTATAAGCCCTATTCTCTTAAGGAATCCAGGTCTTGACTTCTAGGAACATGACTCTCCTAGCTTCTCAAAAAAGCACCCCCACCCTCACCTTTTTTTTTTTTTTTTTTTTTTTTTTTTTTTTTTTTTTTAGATGGAGTCTCGTTCTGTTGCCCAGGCTGGAGTGCAGTGGCACAATCTCGGCTCACTGCAAGCTCGGCCTCCCAGGTTCACGCCATTCGCCCTGCCTCAGCCTCCCAAGTAGCTGGGACTACAGGTGCCCACCACCATACCCGGCCAATTTTTTTGTATTTTCAGTAGAGATGGGATTTCACCGTGTTAGCCAAGATGGTCTTGATCTCCTGACCTCATGATCCGCCCATCTCAGCCTCCCAAAGTGCTGGGATTATAGGCGTGAGCCACTGCACCCAGACTTTTTTATTTATTTTATTTTTTATTTTTTTGACAGAGTCTTACTCTTGCCTAGGCTGGAGTGCCGTGGCGCAATCTCAGCCCACTGCAACGTCCGCCTCCCAGGTTCAAGCAATCCTCATGCCTCAGCTGCCCAAATAGTTGGGACTACAGGTGCACACCACCACCCCCAGCTAATTTTTGTATTTTTAGTACAGACAGGTTTTCATCGTGCTGGCTAGGCTGGTCTTGAATTCCTGGGCTCACTTGATAGGCACACCTCGGGCTCAAAAGCACAACTCCTGTTTTGTTTTGTTTTGTTTTGTTTTGTTTTTGGAAACAGAATCTTGCTCTGTCACCCAAGCTGGATTGCAGTGGTGTGATCTTGGCTTACTGCAACCTCCACCTCCCAGGTTCAAGCAATTCTCCTGCCTCAGCCTCCCAAGTAGCTGGGATTATAGGCATGCATCACCACGCCCAGCTAATTTTTCTGTTTTTAGTAGAGACAGGGTTTCACCATTTGGCCAGGCTGGTCTCAAACTCCTGATCTCAAATGATCCACCCTCCTCAGCCTCCCAAAGTTCTGGGATTACAGGTGTGAGCCACCATCCCCGGCCATCCACTCTTAATAAATAAAAAATACTTTGATCCTAAGGCTATTTTTTTCTGCCAAGGATTCAGCTTCCCAAGTAGCCACATGCTGGGCTAGTTTTTTGTTTGTTTGTTTGTTTGTTTGTTTGTTTTGGTAGAGATAGGACCTCAGTATTTAGCCTAGGCTGGTCTCGAACTCCTGGGCTCCAGCAGTCCTCCTGCCTTGGCCTCTCAAAGTGCTGGGATTACAGGTGTGAGCCACCATGTTCAGCCCTGCCAAAGATTTTGAGAGCCCATTTTGGAACTCAAAACCAAAAATTTGACTCTTTATTCTTATTATTTGATTCCTTTCTTCCTGGGACAATAAACTTCAGCCTCACTGTCTCTATTTAGTTAGAAGAGCTTTCAGTAAGAAGAAATTACTGAGAAGAAAATTATTAATAAGAGGAGAAAATACATTGTCATCCAATTCAGAATGCTATTCTGAAAATTATATAATATTTATTATACTTTCTATTGCTTCCCTTTTTTTCCCTGTCTTTCACTGGCTTGGATAGATTTCCTTTATTCCTTTTCTTATTCCTATGTTACTTTGTAAAGTTTTACTTTGCTTGTCAATACTCAGTTACTCTAGTGGTTACTTTCCTGTTGCTAATAATCATGAATAAACCTCTATCATTATGTCAATATAAATAGTAAGTTATAGCAGTTAAGTGCTCCATCAAAATAATTTACTTGTGGCCAGGCACAGTGGCTCATGCCTGTAATTCCAGCACTTTGGGAGGCCCAGGCAGGCAGATCACTTGAGATCAGGAGTTCGAGACCAGCCTGGCCAACATGGTGAAACCCCATCTCTACTAAAAGTACAAAAATTAGCTGGGCCTGGTGGCATGCGCCTGTAGTCCCAGCTACTTGGGAGGCTGAGGAACAAGAATCACTTTAACCTGGAAGGTGGAGGTTGTAGTGAGCTGAGATGACACCACTGTACTCCAGCCTGGGTGACAGAGCAATACTCCATCTCAAAAAAAAAAAAAATTTATTTGCCATTCCTCTTACCTTTTTCTACCATGAAAATATAATTAAAAGGTTGAGCACAAATATTCCAGGCAAAAACAAATAAGAAGAAAGCAGGGATTGCAATGTTCAAAACAAAGTAAAATTCAAGATTAAAATCATTAATTTTACAGGCAGTGGCTCACACCTCTAATCCCAGCACTTTGGGAGGCTGAGGTGGGCGGATCACGAGTTCAGGAGATCAAGACCATCCTGGCTAACATGGTGAAACCCCGCCTCTACTAAAAATACAAAAAATTAGCTGGGCGTGGTGGCAGGCACCTGGAGTCCCAGCTACTCAGGAGGCTGAGGCAGGAGAATGGCATGAACCCAGGAGGCAGACAGAGGTTGCAGCGAGCTGAGATCGCGCCATTGCACTCCAGCCTGGGCGACAGAGCGAGACTCCATCTCAAAAAATAATAAAATAAAATGAAATGAAATAAAATAAAATCATTAAAGGGGAAAAGAGGATATGTAGTTATTAAGAGGTACACCCAAAAAAGAAAATTTAAGTCATAAATTCTTGTTTTCTTCTTCTTCTTTTTTTTTTTTTTTTTTTTTTTTTTTTTTTTTGAAGTGGAGTCTTGCTCTGTCGCCCAGGCTGGAGTGCAGTGGTGCGATCTTGGCTCACTGCAACTTCTGCCTCCCTGGTTCAAGTGATTCTCCTTCAGCCTCCCGATCTTGGCTCACTGCAACCTCTGCCTCCCTGGTTCAAGTGATTCTCCTTCAGCCTCCCAAGTAGCTGGGACTACAGGCACGTGCCACCATGCCCAGCTAATTTTTTGTATTTTTAGTAGAGATGGGGTTTCACTGTGTTAGCCAGGATGTTCTCAATCTCCTGATCTCATGATCCGCCCGCCTCAGCCTCCCAAAGTGCTGGGATTACAGGCGTGAGCCACTGGGCCCAGCCTAAATTCTTGTTTTAAAACAATATGGCAATCAAGAATGAAATAATATATCACTACAGACCTAACAGATGCCAAAAGAATAATGAGGAACCACTACAAACAGCTTTACAGACGTACATTTGATACCTTAGATAAATGGACCAATTTCTCAAAAAGCACAAACTACTACATCTCACCCAATGTGAACTAGATAAGTTGAATATCTTTATAGCTATTAAGAAAATTGAATTTCGCCAGGCACGGTAGCTCATGCCTGTGATCCCAGCACTTTGGGAGGCTGAGGCGGGCGGATCACCTGAGGTTGGGAGTTTGAGACCAGCCTGACCAACATGGAGAAACCCTGTCTCTACTAAAAATACAAAATTAGCCAGGCATGGTGGCACGTGCCTGTAATCCCAGCTACTTGGGAGGCTGAGGCAGGAGAATCGCTTGAACCCAGGAGGTGGAGGTTGCGGTGAGCCGACATCATGCCATTGCACTCCAGCCTGGGAAAACTCCATCTCAAAAAAAAAAGAAAGAAAAAAGAAAATTGAATTTATAACTTCACATCTCCCAAGAAAAATAATCAGGCCCAGATGGTTTCACTGGAGAATTATAACAAACCTTTAAAAATAAATTAACACTAATTCTACACAATCTCTTCTAGAAAAATAAAAGAGAAGGAAAGGGAACCCTATCCGATTCATTTTATGAGGCCAGCATCACCCTGATACCAAAACCAGAGAAAGACAGTACAAAAAAAGAAAACTACAGACCAATATCCTTCATGAATATAGATGCAAAAAAAATTTAACCAAATATTAGCAAATAAAATTCAGCAATGTGAAAAAAAGAATTATACACCATGACCAAGTTTTGTTTTTTCCAGGGATGCAGGATTGGTTTATGTTTGAAAATCAAACATTGAATTCACCATGTTAGCAGGCTAAATAAGAAAAATCCCATGATCATATCAATTGGTGCAGAAAAAAGCATTTGGCTAAGCTTTACATCCATTCATGATAAAAACTCCCAGAAAACTAGGTAGAGAGTGAAAACTACCTCAATGTAATAAGAACATCTACAAAAAGCCTATAGTTAATGTTTTACTTAATGGTGAAAGACTGAATCTTCCCCCTTGCAGGATACAGTAGCAACATATAAAAATCAATTATATTTCTGTATACTAGCAATGAACAATTTAATCAAAATAAAAATACAATTTAAAATCACTCAAAAAATGAAATATTTAGATGTAAATTTAACAAAATATGTACAGGACCTATTAAATGAAAACCACAAGACACTGATGAAAGAAATCAAAGATGTAAATAAATAGAGATTTGCTATGTTTACAAATTGGAAGACACAACGTAATAAAGATACCAGTTCTCCTCAAACTGATACATAGACTTAACCCAATTCATATCACAATCCGAACAAGATTCTTTGTAGATACAGACAAGAAAATTTTAAAATTTATATTTTACAATATAAATTTTCTAAAAGACAAAGGAACAAGACTAGCTAAAACAATTTTGGAAAATAATAACTTGGAGAAATCACTCTTTTCTGTTTCAATAGTATGCGGTATTGCTGATGAGATACACACATAGATCAATGGAACACAGGAAACCCTTAAATAGAGTTTTTGCACTTTTTAAATTTAGCATAATCTTTTTTTTTTTTTTTGAGACGGAGTCTCGCTCTGTCACCCAGGCTGGAGTGCAGTGGCGCTATCTCAGCTCACTGCAAGCCCCGCCTCCCGAGTTCACACCATTCTCCTGCCTCAGCCTCAGGAGTAGCTGGGACTACAGGCGCCTGCCACCACACCCAGCTAATTTTTTGTATTTTTAGTAGAGACGGGGTTTCGTCATGTTAGCCAGGATGGTCTCGATCTCCTGACCTCATGGTCTGCCCACCTCAGCCTCCCAAAGTGCTGGGATTACAGGCATGAGCCACCGTGCCTGGCCAATTTAGCATGATATTCTTAAAGTTCATCCACATTGTAGCAGGTGTTAGTATTTCATTCCTTTTTTTTTTTTTTTTTAAGAGTTAGGGTTGGCCGGGCGTGGTGGCTCACGCCTGTAATTCTACCACTTTGGGAGGCCAAGGCAGGCAGATCACAAGGTCAGGAGATCGAGACCATCCTGGCTAACACGGTGAAACCCCATCTCTACTAAAAATACAAAAACAAAATTAGCCAGACGTGGTGGCGGGCACCTGTAGTCCCAGCTACCAGGGAGGCTGAGGCAGGAGAATGTTGTGAACCCGGGAGGCGGAGCTTGCAGTGAGCTGAGATCATACCACTGCACTCCAGCCTGGGTGACAGAGCAAGACTGTCTCAAAAAAAAAAAAAAAAATTGTTGGGGTTTCACTCTGTCGCCCAGGCTGGAGTGCAGTGGTGCAGTCATGGCTCACTGCAGCCTCAAACTCCTGGGCTCAAGAGATTCTCCTGGTCGGGCACAGTGGCTCATGCCTGTAATCCCAGCACTTTGGGAGGCCAAGGCAGGTGGATCACTTGACCTCAGGAGTTCCAGACCAGCCTGGCCAACATGGTGAAACCCCGTCTCTACTAAAAATACAAAAATTAGCTGGGCGTGGTGGTGCACATCTGTAATCCCAGCTATTTGGGAGGCTGAGGCAGGAGAATCCCTTGAACCTGGGAGGCAGAGGTTGCAATGAGCTGAGATCTTGTCATTGCACTCCATCCAGCCTAGGCGACAGAGCAAGACTCCATCTCAAAAAAAAAAAAAAAAAATGGAGATTCTCCTGCCTCAGCCTCCTGAGTAGCTGGGACCACAGGTGCATGCCACCACAAACTGTTAAGTTTAAATTTTTTTTTAGAGACAGAGTATCACTATGTTGCCCAGGCTGGTCTGGAACTCCTGGCTTCAAGCAGTTCTCCCACCTTGACCTATCAAAATGCTGGGATTACAGGCGTGAGCGATTGTGCCCAGCTCAGCTCATTCCTTTTTTATTGCTGAATAGTGGTCCATTATATGGATATACTACATTTTAGTTAATGATAGACATTTGGATTGTTTTCATTTAATGTATAAGTAACATGCTATAAATACTCATGTACAAGTTTTTGTATGGATATGTTTTTGTATTTCTTGGGTATATTATGCATATATGAGTGGAAGTGCTAGGTCATAGGATAACTCTGCATTTATTTAGCATTTTAAGAAACTACCAAGCTTTGATTCAAAGTGGCTGCACCATTTTACATTCACACCAGCAGTGCATGTGGGTTCTAATTTCTCTACATCCAGAATCTGTGTTTTTTATCTTTAACCATTTAGTTCCTAGCATATAAATATTTCTTAAAAGTAAATGTTTAAATTTAAAGAATGAAGTCAATAGGAAAATAAACAAATGAACTGAGGTCAGATTAGTTTGTTGGGTCTTTTTTTTTTTTTTTTTTTTTTTTTGAGACAGGGTCACACTCTGTAACCCAGGCTGGAGTGCAGTGGCACCATCACAGCTCACTATAGCCTTGACTTGGCCTGGGCTCACTGATTCTCCCACCTCAGCTTCCCGAGTAGCTGAGACTACAGGCGCAAGCCACCATGCCTGGGTAATTTTTATATTTTTATATTTTTATATTATATTTTACCATGTTATCGAAGCTGAGCTTGAACTCCTGGATTCAAGCGATCTGCCCCTCAGCCTCCCAAAATACTGGGATTACAGGGGTGTGCCACCACGCCTAGCCTGAAGCCCAGATTTGTATCATTTGCCTGTTTCTGTGGTATAAATACTCCCACCACCATGACATAACAAGATAAGGTGGTGGAGTATACATATATATAGGGGAGAGTTATGGAAGATTTTCTCCCCGTGGCAGAGTAATTATCTGGAGCCATATTACATATACAATGGGGAAGTGATAAAAGACCTCACAGTTTTTTAAAGCTTTATGTCTAAAAGCAGGGTGAAAACATTTTACAGTTGTTCAACATTTTGCATTCTCATTAGTAGAGGAAGACTGCCTTTTTTCTTTTTTGAAAAAATACTTCAGTGATACTTTTGTGCCCCTTTCCCACAGCTTGCCCACAAAAAATGACAAAATTCAAGAATGAAGTTTGGGGGAATAAGAGGCTAAACTGTTTTCAAATTAGTGTAACACTTTGCCTTCATTGTGGGCAGAATTGCACCTATCTGAATTTATGATGGTGTGATCTGGGTTTTCAGTAAATTACTTAAAAAAAAAATTTTCCCTCTCACTGAGCCCAGAGAATGAAATGGAGTATGACCCCAGGTTAGGAGGAATTTCCATCAGACATTCCTAAAAGGACAAGAAAAGATGTCAGGTTGGGGCCAAGGAGAGAGATCACCAATCCAAGTCCCCCAGGGAGGGGCTTGGCCCCTGGGCTCCAGGAACACACATATCTGTAACATCCAAATGTATTTTCTTTCCCATATCGTCATTCCCTTTGTTTAACTCAAGTCTAGATAAAACTAGAGCCTGAACTTGGCGGTGCTTTGGGTAAGTAAAAGAAGGACCTGGTTCTCCACTGGCCTGAGGCAGCACAGAGAAGACAAAAGCGGTCCAGAGAAGGCAGATAAAGGATGGCAAGAAGTCACCAGTCAACACCAGAGTCTCTTGGGGCAGCACCTGGCTGGGTCACAAGTGACTACCAATGACAACACGTAAACATTCCTCATAATTCCCCAACACACTGGGGAGAGGAACCAGGAGAAAGGCTATACTTCCTAGAGGCACAAACACACCATGCAGAACAGACTATTCTCACTCATGCTTAAGGGAACTCTGACTCTTGAACCCAGACATTTAAGATCCCAAGTTCCATGTACCTGCTCATTCATTCCTGCCTCCATTAAAACTCATCCTTCCCTGCCACAGTCTATCCTAAAGGGGTTCAGCCTTATTTGGCTGGAGTTTGGGGTTTATGAACATTCAAAATTTACTTAATGAGCTTTATAAAATTAACAATATTGTATCTGAACAAGATTTTGGATTGTGCAGTGGCTATGGACTGGCAAAAAGCATCCTACCTGGCTGGGCACAGTGGCTAATGCTTGTAACCCCAGCACTTTGGGAGGCCAAGGTGGAAGAATCACCTGAGGCCAGGAGTTCAAGACTAGTCTGGGTAACAGAGACCTCCATCTCTAAAAATAAAAATAAAAATACTTAGCACAAGAGGCTGAAGTAGGAGGGTTGCTTGAGCCCAGGAATTTCAGGGCTATGATTGTGCCATTGCACTCCAGCCTGGGCAGTAGAATGAGACCTCATCTCTCTTTTTTAAGAAAATTTTCTCCAAAGCAGTTTATTAATTTTTTTAATTCTAATTTTTGTGGGTACATAGTAGGTATATATATTTATGGGGTACATAAGATGGTTTTATACAGGCGTGTAATGCATAATAATCTCATTATGGAGAACGGGGTATCTGTCCCCTCAAGCATTTATCCTTAGTGTTATAAACAATCCAGTTATACTCGTTTAGTTATTTTAAAATGTACAATTAAATTATTACTGACTATAGTCACCCTGTTGTGCTATCAAATAGTAGGCCTTATTCATTCTTTATTTTTTTTTGTACCCATTAACCATCCCTACCTCCCCCTACCCTCAACTACCCTTCCCAGCCTCTGGTAGCCATCCTTCTATTTTCTATCTCCATGAGTTCAGTTGTTTTAACTTTTAGATCCCACAAATAAGTGAGAACATATGATGTTTGTCTTCTGTGCCTGGCTTATTTTACTTAACATAATGATCTCCAGTTCCATCCATGTTATTGCAAATGATAGGATCTCATTCCTTTTTATGGCCGAATAATACTCTGTTGTGTACATGTACTGCAGCCTCAACTTCTGGGGCCCAGGTGATTCTCCCACCTCAGCCTCCAGAGTAGCTAGGACTATAGGTATATGCCACCACTCCTGGCTAATTTTTTGTATTTTTTATAGAGACACGGTTTTGCCATGTTTCCCAGGCTGGTCTCAAACTCATGTGCTCAAGCAGTTCACCCACCTCAGTCTCCCAAAGTGCTGGGATTACAGGCATGAGCCACCGCACCCAGCCCACATTTTCTTTATCTATTTGTCTGTTGATGGACACTTAGGTTGCCTCCAAATCTTGGCTGTTGTGAACAGTGTTGCTACAAATATGGGAGTGCAGCAGATATCTCTTCAATATACTGATTTCTTTCCTTACCCAGCAGTGAGATTGCTGAGTCATATGGTAGCTCTAGTTTTAGTTCCATAGTGGTTGTACTAATTTACATTCCCACCAAAAGTGTAGAAGGGCTCCCTTTTCTCCACATCCT
Organism: Homo sapiens; assembly: GCF_000001405.40. NCBI lineage: Eukaryota > Metazoa > Chordata > Mammalia > Primates > Hominidae > Homo > Homo sapiens. The sequence continues at coordinate 111,910,693 of NC_000012.12, read as the reverse complement.
CGCCAGCATTTGTTATTACCTGTCTTTTGGATATAAGCCATTTTAACTGGGGTGAGATGATATCACATTGTAGTTTTGATTTGCATTTCTCTGATGATTAGTGAACAGTCACCTTTTCATATGCATGTTTGCCATTTGTGTGTCTTTTTTTGAGAAATGTCTATTCAAATCTTTTGCCTATTTGATCAGATTAGATTTTTTCCTATGGAGTTGTTTGAGTTTCTTTTTTTTGAGATGGAGTCTTGCTCTGTCACCCAGGCTGGAGTGCAGTGGCACAATCTCGGCTCACTGCAAACTCCGCCTGCCAGTTCACGCCATTCTTCTGCCTCAGCCTCCTGAGTAGCTGAGACTACAGGCGCCCGTCACCACGCCTGGCTAAATTTTTGTATTTTTAGTAGAGACAGGGTTTCACCGTGTTAGCCAGGATGGTCTCGATCTCCTGACCTCGTGATCCGCCCGCCTCGGCCTCCCAAAGTGCTGGGATTACAGGTGTGAGCCACTGCACCCGGCTTGAGTTTCTTATATACTCTGGTTATTAATGCTTTGTTAGATGGATAGTTTGCAGATGTTTTCTTATATTCTGTGGGTTGTCTCTTCACTTTGTTGATTGTTTCCTTTGCTATGCAGAAGCCTTTTCACTTGATGTGAGCCCATTTGTCCATTTTTACTTTGGTTGCCTGTGTTTGTAGGGTATTACCCAAGAAGTTTTTGCCCAGAGCAATGTCCTGGAGATTTTTCCCCATGTTTTCTTGTAGTTGTTTCATAGTTTAATGTCTTAGATTTAAGTGTTAATCCATTTTGATTTGATTTTTGTATATAGCAAGAGATAGGGGTCTAATTTCAGTCTTCTGCATATGGATATCCAGTTTTCCCAGCACCATCTATTGAAGAGACTGTCTTTTCCTGTTCTTGGCACCTTTGTCAAAAATGAGTTCACTCAGTGTGTGGATTTGTTTCTGGGTTCTCTATTCTGTTCCATTGGTCAATGTGTCTGTTTTTATGCCAGTACCATGCTGGTTTGGTTGCTATAGCTCTGCAGTATAATTTGAAGTCAGGTAATGTGATTCCTCCAGATTTGTTCCTTTTGCTTAGTATAGCTTTGGCTATTCTGGGTCTTTTATGGTTCCATATAAATTTTAGTATTGTTTTTTCTATTTCTATGAAGAATGTCATTGATATTTTGATAGGGATTGCATGAAATCTGTAGATTGCTTTGGGTAGTATGGACATTTTAACAATGTTGATTCTTCCAATCCATGAACATGGAATATCTTTCCACTTTTTTGGTATCCTCTTCAATTTCTTTCATCAGTGTTTTACAGTTTTCATTACAGAGATCTTTCACTTCTTTGGTTACGTTAATTCCTAAGTATGTAATTTTATTTGTGGCTATTATAAATGGGATTACTTTTTTATTTCTTTTTCAGATTGTTCACTGTTGCATACAGAAATGCTTCTGATTTTTTATGTTGATTTTTTATCCTACAACTTTACTGAATTTATCAGTTTTAATAGTTTTTTTGTGGAACCTTGAGGTTTTTCCACATACAAGATCATATCATCTGCAAACAAGTTTAATTTGACTTCTTCCTTTCCAGTTTGGATGCCTTTTATTTCTTTCTCTTGTCTGATTGCTTTAGCTAGGACTTCCAGCACTATATTGAATAACATTGGTGAAAGGGGGCATCTTTGTCATATTCCATATCTTAGAGGAAAGGGTTTCAGTTTTTCCTCATTCAGTATGATACTAGCTGTAGGTCTGTGGTATATGGCTTTTATTATGTTGAGGTATGTTCCTTCTATACCTAGTTTTTTTATAAGGGTTCTTATCACGAAGGTATGCTGAACTTTATCAAATGCTTTTTCAGCATCTACTGAAATGACCGTATGGATTTTGTCCTTCATTCTGTTGATATGATGTATTACATTAATTGATTTGCATATGTTGAACCATCCTTGCATCCCAGGGATAAATCCCACTTGGTCATGATGAATAATCTTCTTAATGTATTCTTGAATTAGATTTGCTAGTAATTTGTTGAAGATTTTTATCAGATATTCATCAGAGACCAATGCCTGTAGTTAGTTTCCTTCCTTCCTTCCTTCCTTCCTTCCTTCCTTCCTTCCTTTCTCTCTTTCTCTCTTTCTTTTTGGTGATGTGTATTTGTCTGGTTTTTGGAATCAGGATAATATTGGCCTTGGCCTTGTAGAATGAGTTTGGAAATATCCCTTCCTCTTCTATAGTTTGAGTAGGATTGGTATTGGTTCTTCTTTAAATGTTTGGTAGAATTAAGCAGTGAAGCCATTGGGTCCCAGGCTATTCTTTTTTTTTTTTTTTTTTTTTTTGAGACAGAGTTTCACTCTTGTTGCCCAGGCTGGAGTGCAATGATGCAATCTTGGCTCACCGCAACCTCCGCCTTCTGGGTTCAAGTGATTCTGTTGCCTCAGCCTCCCAAGTAGCTGGGATTACAGGCATGCGCCACTACGCCCAGCTAATATTTTGTATTTTTAGTAGACAAGGGGTTTCTCCATGTTGGTCAGGCTGGTCTCAAACTCCTGACCTCAGGTGATCTGCCCACCTCGGCCTCCCAAAGTGCTGGGATTATGGGCATGAGCCACTGCACCTGGCCCTTTTTCCATCTCTTTGTTTTCAGTCTGTGTCTTTATAGGTGAAGTGTTTTTCTTGTAGGCAAAAAATCAGTGAGTCTTGCATTTTTACCCATTGAGCCACCCCATGTCTTTTGATTAGAGAGTTTAGTCCATTTACATTCAGTGTTATTATTGATAAATAAGCACTTACTCCTTCCACTTTGTTATTTATTTTCTGGTTGTTTTGTGGTCTTCTTTTCCTTCTTTCTTTCCTTCCTGTCTTCTTTTTTTTGTAAAGGTGCTTTTCTCTGATGATATAGTTTCTTGTGGCCAGGTGTGGTGGCTCATGGCCATAATCCCAGCATTTTGGGAGGCCGAGGCAGGCGGATCACCTGAGGTCAGGAGTTCAAGACTGGCCTAGCCAACATGGAGAAACCCTGTCTCTACTAGAAATGCAAAAATTAGCTGGACGTGGTGGTGGGCACCTGTAATCCCAGCTACTTAGGAGGCTGAGGGAGGTGAATTCCTTGAACCTGGGAGGCAGAGGTTGCAGTGAGCCAAGATCGCACCACTGCACTCCAGCCTGGGCAACAGAGTGAGACTCTGTCTCAAATAATAATAATAATAACAATTTAGTTTCTTGCTTTTTATTTTTTGTGTATCTATTATATGTTTTTTTTGGCTTGAGGTTACCATGAGGCTTGCAAACACTATATTATAACCCATTATTTTAAACTGATAACAACACTATTTGTATAAAAAAACAAGCAAAAAGAAAACTAGTAAGAACTCTACACCTTAACTTCATACCTGTGCTTTTTAACTTTTGGTTGTTTCCGTTTATATTTTACTATGCTATGTATGTCTTGCTAAGTTGTTGTTATTATTTTTGATTGGTATATTATTTATTCTTTCTACTTAAAATAAGAGTAGTTTAAACACCACAGTTACAGTGTTATAATATTATGTGTTTTTCTGTGTATTTACTATTACCAGTGAGTTTTGTACCTTCAGGGTGATTACTTATTGCTCATTAATATTCTTTTCTTTCTGATTGAAGTGCTCCCTTGAAAGCATTGCTTGTAGGGCAGGTCTGATGTTGATGAAATCCCTCAGCTTTTGTTTGGGAAAGTATTTCTCCTTCATGTTTGAAGGATATTTTCACTAGATATACTATTCTAGGGTAAAAGCTTTTTCCTTCAGAACTTTAAATACGTCATGCCACTCTCTTCTGACCTGTAAGGTTTCCACTGAGAAGTCTGTGACCAGAAATATTGGAGCTCCACTGTACGTTATTTGTTTGTTTTCTTTCTTTTTTTATTAAAAAAAAAATTGATTTTCCCAGCCCCAGCCCCAGCAGTCCATGGGGCTGAGGAAGCCTGGCTGATTTGCTTGTTTTCTCTTTCTGCTTTTAGGATCCTTTATCCTTGATTTTTGGGAGTTTGATTATTAAATCCCTTGAGGTAGTCTTCTTTGGGTTAAATCTGCTTGGTGGTCTACAACCTTCTTTACTTGGATATTGATACCTTTCTCTAGGTTTGGGAAGTTGTCTGTTATTATCCCTTTGAATAAACGTTCTACCCCTATCTCTTTCTCTACCTCCTCTTTAAGGCCAATTAATCAGATTTGCCCTTTTGAGACTATTTGCTAGATCCTGTAAGCATGCTTCCTTTTTTCTTTTTCTTTTTGCTCCTTTGGCTGTTTATTTTCAAATAGCCTTCTTCAGGCTCACTAATTCTTTCTTCTGATTGATCAATTCTGTTACTGAAAGCCTCTGATGCATTCTTCAATATGCCTATTGCATTTTTAGCTCCAGAATTTCTGCTTGATTCTTTTTAATTATTTCAATCTCTTTGTTAAATTTATCTGATAGAATTCTGAATTCCTTCTCTGTATTATCTTGAGTTTCTTTGAATTTCCTCCAACACAGCTATTTTGAATTCTCTGTCTGAAAGGTCAGATAGCTGTTTCTCCAGGATGGGTCCCTGGTACCTTGTTTAGTTCATTTGATGAGGTCATGTTTTCTTGGATTGTCTTGATACTTATAGATGTTTGTCTGTGTCTGGGCATTGAAGAATTAGGTATTTATTGTAGTCTTCGCAGTCTGGGCTTGTTTATACCTATCCTTCTTGGGAAGGCTTTCCAGATATTTGTAAGGACTTATCTAAGCTGTATCTGCTTTAGAGGGCACCCCAAGCCCAGTAATGCTGTGGTTCTTGCAGATTCATAGAGATACTGCCTTGATGGTCTTAGACAAGATCTAGGATAATCTGGATTGCCAGCCAGAGACTCTTGTTCTCTTCCCTTAATTTCTCTCAGACATACAGAGTCTATCTCTGTTCTGAGCCACCACTGGGGGTGCAGTGACACAAACACCCCTGAGGCTACCACCACTATGACTGCACTGGGTCAGACCTGAAGCCAGCACAGTACTGGGTCTTGCCCAAGGTCTGCTGTAACCACTCCCTGACTACCGCCTATATTTATTCAAGGCCTTGGGGCTCTACAATCAGCAGGTGGCAAGGCCAGCCAGGCTTGTGTCCTTCCCTTCAGGGTGGCGAGTTTCCCCGGGCCCTGGGTGGGTCCAGAGGACCCAGAGACTAGATTCAAAAACCTTAGAAGTCTACCTGATGTTCTGTTGTACTGTGGCTGAGCTGGCACTCAAACCACTAGATGCAGACCTTCTCACTCTTCCTTTCCCTTTCCAAAGGCAGAGGAGCCTTACCCTGTGGCCACCGCCACCATGGGCCCATGGGATGTACTGCCAGACTACTGCCAAAGTTCCCTTAAGACCCAAGGGCTCTTCAGTCAGCTTGTGGTGAATGCTGTCTGGCCCAGGGCTCACCCTTCAGGAAATTAGGCTCCCCTCTGGCCCAGGGCAGGTCCAGAAATGCCATCCAAGGCTAAGTCCTGGAATCGGGGACTCTAGCCCACTTGATACTCTACTCACCTGTGGCCGAGCTGGTACCTAAGGTGTAAGAGAAAGTCCCATTTACTCTTCCCTCTGCTTTTCTCAAGTGGAAGGAGTCTTGCCCCATAACCACCACAGCTGGTAATGTGCTTAGTCTCACCTGAAGCCAGCAAGTCTCAGACTCTCGCCCAAAGCCCTCGTTGTAGTGCCTGGGTATTGTTGCTGGTTATTCAGGGCCCAAGGGCTCTTCAGTTAGTAGGTGATGAATGCTGCCAGAACTTAGTCCTTCCCTTCAAGGCAGCAGGTTCTCTTCTGGCCCAGGGTGTGTCTAGTATTATCATCCAGAAGTTAGGACCTGGAAAGTGGGCCCCAGAACTCTGACCAGTGCCTTATCTTGCTGTGGCTGAGCTGGTATCTTAAGATATAAGACAAAGACCTCTGCACTTTTCCCTCTCCTCTCCTCAGGTGGAGGGAATGGGAGTCTCTCACAGCTGTGAGCTGTGCAGCCTGGGGTGAAGGGGGAGGGGTGATGCCCTTAGCCACCCCAGCTGGTTTCAAAGTAGGTCATGTCCCCACCACCCTCTCACTCAGTCCACTGTCTCAGGGCCAATTCAGCACTAGGACTCACCTAGGTTTTGCAGTCCCTGTGTCCTACACTGCCTTTCAAGTTTCTTTGGGGCCCCAGAACACTTTAGCCCATGGTGGTGAGGCTTGCAGGAACTCAAGTTCCAATGCTGGGATCTATCATTTCCCTCTGGCTAGAGCTGGTTTAAATGCTCCCTCTGTTGGCAGGATCAGCTGTGTTTGGTCCAGTTATCCTTTCTGATTTTTAGTTCTTATGAATGTGCTTTTTTGTGTGTAGATAGTTGTTAAGTTGGTGTCCTTGCTGCGGTGGGATGATTGGTGGAGCCTTCTATTCCACCATCCACCCTGCCTAGACACCATCTTTAAAAAAAAAAAAAAAAAATCCTGCTCAAGGTACAAATATTGCCACAGTTGTGACAGTTGGATTTGATTAAATTATTCACTTGGTCAACATTTATTGAGCATCTGTAGTGAGCTGGGCCTACAAAACTAAATAATGATGCCAACTTGCCACTCCATTCTGTCAGGATGTAGTAGGGGAAAAGACATTTTCATCCATAATAACTACACAATGTAGTAGATTCATGACAGATATCAGCATCCATTTGTAAGGCTTTGGTTTCATTAGAGTCACTGAAGAAGCACCTCTGTTCTGGGCAATTAAGGACATGTCTTTCCCTTCAGTTTTTTTTTTTTTTTTTTAATGGAAGGAAAAGGTTCATGAGGCAGTAGATTCACTCATTTCTGGGGAGGGATGCAGGTCCCACCACTTACTAGCTAGCTCTAGAGCAAACTCTTCAGTCTCTGTTTCCTCATGTACAAGATGGAGGTTTTATTGGGAAGTTGGGAGGATTAAATTAAGGCAATGAATGTAAAGTATTGCTTTAACACAGTGCCTAGAACAGAATGAATGGTTTTTATTTATCTGAGACAGGGTCTTGCTCTGTCGCCCAGGCTAGAGTACTGTGGTGGTATCATAGCTCACTGCAACCTCAAACTCCTGGACTCAGCAATCCTCCTGGCTTAGCCTCCTGAGTAGCTGGGATTATAGCTGCACACCACTATGCCCAGCTAATTTTTTTTTTTTTTTTTTTTTTTGGAGAGACAGGGTCTTACTATGTTGCTCAGGCTGATCTTGAATTCCTGGCCAAAAGTGATCCTTTCAACTTGGCCTCCCAAAGTGTGGGGATTACAGGCATGAGCCACCAAGCCTGGCCTAATGTTAACATTATATTTGCTTTGTGCTCTCTTCTCAGAGAAGTAATTGCCACCTCCAGAACTCTATTACCTGTACTGGAGAAGTTCCTTCTGATATTCAATCAACAAGTTATTAATATAAATAAATTTTTTAAAAATGAAAACTAGAGGAAAAAATATTTATTTTTAGTTTTTGTTTTTTTTTTTGAGACAGAGTCTCGCTTTGTCACCCAGGCTGGAGTACAGTGGTGTGATCTTGGCTCACTGTAGCCTCAACCTCCCAGTTTCAAGCAGTTCACCTGCTTCAAGCCTCCAGAGTAGCTGGAACTACAGGCACATGCTACTACTCCCGGGTAATTTTTGTATTTTTAGTAGAGACGGGGTTTCACTACGTTGTCCAGACTGTTCTCAAACTCCTGACCTCAGGTGATCCGCCCTCCTCAGCCTCCCAAAGTGCTGGGATTACAGGTGTGAGCCACCGTGCCTGGCCAAAAATAGTTTAATTTCATACATATACTCAGCACTGTGGTAGATGCCAGTATACTATTATAGAATTAATGTAAACACAGTTTTCCTAACTCTAAGTGATGTTCATCAGCCACGAGTTATCTGAGGGGTATGAAGTTCATCCCAGGAAAATTAGTAAAACAGAAGAGCTATGAAAGTTGGCCTCAATTTGGGAGTCTGAGGCAGGTAGATCAGGAGTTTGAGACCAGCCTGGCCAACATGGAGAAACCCCGTCTCTACTAAAAATACAAAAATAAGCCGGGTGTGATGGCATGCACCTGTAATCCCAGCTATTCTGGCGGCTAAGGCAGGAGAATCACTTAACCTGGGAGGCGGAGGTTGCAGTGAGCTGAGATCGCACCACTGCACTCCAGCCTGGGTGACAGAGCAAGACTCCATCTCAAAAAAAAAAAAAAAAAACAAAACAAAACTGGCCTCGAAGAAAAAAAGTATTTTAGGTAAAAAGGGAGGATGGCTATAGGAAGCATCTAGAAATATTGGGAAGTAATAAATCAAATATACATATATCATATTAAACATCTGCCAGATTTGGAAAGCAGGTGACCTCAATGCTGACCTCTTAACCTACGGGCAATCAGGGTCTTCTACTTTGATATAGTCCCTCCCACAGTGCCCCAGAATAAAGTGGACTCAGTAACTATACCATGTGGAACCTGAAGAGTTGTCTAATATGAATCGGGTTTTATTTGTTTTTGGATTTAAAAACTTCTCCTTTGATGAATGCACATTTATAGGGCAAGTTAGAACAACCAATCACATAAACAACTGTCCTCACATAATAGGTAGTTGTTACTTAAAATGAAAATCCCAGAGTTAGTAATAAATTCAGGTACATATGATTCTGTATGTCAAACAAATAGAAGATAGCATGTCCTGAAAAAGTTTCTGGTGACTAAAACAATTGGGCCAAAAAGACAAGGACATTGATGTCCAAAGATGCATGTTAATGGTTCAAATGAAATGTGAAAAAGCAAAAGGTACTAAAATATTTAACATATTAAATTAATGTAAATTTAATTACCAAAATAAATAATAAAAGTGAAAGAATCCTTCCTTCTACATCAGTATATCTGAGTCAGAGCCACTAAAGCTATCTATTTCTACTTCACCAAACATCTCATTCCCACTCAGTACTTGAGGAGTTTGATATACTTGGCTTCATCTCCCTATTTCTAACCTTAGGAATCTGATTCTTCCTCCTCTTCTTCCTCCTCCTCCTCTTCTTTTTCTTCCTCCTTCTCTTCTTTTTCTTCTGTGGCCACTTCTGCTGCTTCTGGCTTTATTTCTGGGGCCGGTGGTGGAGCCACTGCTGGAGGAGCTTCTGCCGGGGCAGCCTCTGGTGATTTTTTAAGCAAGCAGATCAAATAATTGTACTTAATAATAATATTATAAAAAGTATAATGAATGATAATATCATCATGTCTACAGCATGTTCTTCACGTCTGGAATGAGTCATATTGTGATTTTCACCTTCTCCTGAAGGTGTCCCACCTAGCTTACCAGGAGGGCCACTGTCCACACTACCTCCACTTCCTGCAGTAACACAGTCAGGGGGGGCATGCCCTTCATTACAGTGGCAGTGCCCTAAATCATTACAAACTCCCTTCCCATTACACGTTTTTTCTGGGTTGCAGGCAGAAATCACTGGGGTTTTATCTGTGCAGGCGGAATTCAGGCAGACTTTGTTTGGTGCACAGTAAGTGCCATTGTGCACATCTCCTTCATCAGGAATGTCAGTACTCATATAGGCATCCATGCTCCAACATGAGCCATCTCCCTGAGGGACCTGAATCATTGTATGTTGGAGATTGATTTTTGGTAAGCCTGTAATACCTGAACATATAAGTTTCCCACAAAATATATTACCATCTGAACACCGAACATATTGTGACCCAGGACTGGTAGAAATGCCACAGTTTCCAAATTGGTCCCCTTTGCTGTTCATTGAATTGTAACACTCTTGTGAGGCTGATTTTGCACCATATCCATATAATTGTAAGCACTGATTATTAGGGTCCATACAATGAACTTTAAGGCACTCGTAAATTGTATGACATTTTGAGCCATCTTGCTTATGCCTGTTGTTGGGGCATAATGCAGATGTACCATTGCAAAATTCTGGGAGATCACAGGAACGACTAGAAGGACAGCAAGGATATCCCTTACGGTGAAATTTACACTTATGACAACATGGACCATCACTGCACTCTGCTTTCGCCTTCAGTATACAGTTTTCATCACAGCATGCATGATGCTGACATAGAGAACCACAGTCACACTGCTCCGTGTCCTCCACCACACCATTTCCACAGGCAGAATCCCTACGCTTGCGGCCCCTGGGCCGTGGCTTGTTAAATAGGCAGGCCCCTTTGTGTTCTCGAAGGAACTGGTAGAAGTAGTCAGAGCTGCAGCTGCTGAAGCCACTTTCTTTTGTGATATTTTCATGCATGAGGCAAAAGTGCTTATCTTTACAAAAGCAGGCCGAGTGGTCGTGCTGAATACCCAGGTTGTGCCCGAGCTCATGGGCCATCAGGGCTGCAAACAACAGCACATCTTCATGATGGAAGGATTCAACAGCTGCCGCAAAACCGCTTGAGCAGGCACCACTGAGAAAGGCCTGGCCCATATTCTGTCCAGGGTGATGCCCAACGATCATGTGGGCAACATCGTGTTTTGCACGATGGAAGAGCATCTCTTGTCTCCAGTGATTGAAATTCCTGAGTGTGATTTGCAAGTCCACTGTGACATCTATTAGGTCCCCCTCGGTCCAAATCTCCATTCCAGCCAGCACCACCTCTGTGTTTATTCCCCTAGTGAAGCTGTTGGCCAGAGCAATGACATCCACTACTGTCTGGACCGTCTCATTGACGTTACTGCCCCACATCTGGAACCGCTGGTTGTTGACCACGACAAACATCTCCACGTACTTTTTGTGTGACCACAAGTAGGACAGTGCCTGTAGATCATGAGGCTTCCTGCTCCCTTGTTGCCAGCTAGTAGACACCACAGGAGACTCACGCTTGATGTGCCATGGTGTATAACACATGTTCAAACCGTCTTGAAGAGTCCATGGGCTCAATGCTGTAAGATTTTTCCTCCTTAATCAGGAGGATGTGCCCCTGAGACCTGCACAGATGTTGACAGAAACAAAAGAACCTGACACTCCTTCTATGTAGCCTTCATAGTGGCAGTCATGTGAGATGAAAGGCGATTCTTGCCCCAGGAGGCCATTGTGGTAACTGTAGACTGGAAAGTTATTCACAAAATGGTTTCTCTTCACCTTCAGATGAACCAGGTGCTTCTGGCCTTGCATAAGTAACAAGTAGGACAGTCCTTCCACTGGGCTATCTCCTCCCTGGACTGTCAGCCTCTTTGGAATAATTATTTCATAGAAAGAGTAATAGATTGATCCCAGGTGACAGTACATGCTTGGCACAAAAATCACCAAAAGCATCAAAATCTCTAACCTGATACATGAAGGTCCTGGTACTAGCCCCAGCCTTAAGTTCCACTTCTGTGGAGCCCAAGTTTGAAACTTTATCTTAGCCTCTTCCAAGGCCACTTGGTTTTTCCATAAAGCAGGATGTTGGCAGAGTCTTTTAATAATGCCACCAGTGACATGGCCCAAATAAATCAGTTAATGATTCTGGGCCTATGTCCATCAGCAGAGCTCTCCCTCGCACACAAACCCTCGGAGGCTCAGGTGTTTAGTACTCAGATCTACGCTGGCTCCCTTATTGGCAGTTCTTGCCCAACTCTGATTCTTACAGAACTTCAAGCCGTGTTTCTCTTCCTGCTTCTCTCCTGGCCTTCGGCAGTTTCTTTAGTATGTCTTCCTTCCAACAGCAACAACTTTAATCTTCCTTAGTTATATTCCTTTTACTTTCATGGGAAGATATTCCAAGTAGAAGGCCTGTAGTGATCCAGCCAGTACTGTAACTCCTCAGGCAAATTATTCTTTATCCTCAGCTCAGGCCACACAACTTGATATCCATTAATCTGCTCATTCTTTGAAACACAACATTCTGTCAGGGGGTGGGGGGAAGGGGGCAGGGCTTCTCTGGGGATCTCTGAAAAGGACAAAGTTCTTTGTGGCCCACTGCCTCTTTCCCTCATTTCTGCAGTTTTCAGGGTACCATTTATCAGTTCAGCTCTCCTTTGTCAGTGTCTGGTTTTTTTCTTTAATTCAAGAAAATCTGTATGTGGATGTCCAAGTTTTCCCTCATTATCGTTGGTTCATAACAAATGAGTTTAGATATTTTATATCTGCATATAATCTTCTCTACCAAGTTTTCCTAATGCACGGATATATTGTGTTAAGTAAAATGGGCTCAAGTTTCACCATGGGAGTATATAAAGGATCAGGATCAAAGTTCAGTTCCTCCAACTGCCCTAACATAAAAACAAAGTGTGGGGCCCGGGCACGGTGGCTCACCCCTGTAATCCCAGCACTTTGGGAGGCCGAGGCAGGCGGATCACCTGAGGTCGGGAGTTCGAGACCAGCCTGGCCAGCATGGTGAAACCCTGTCCCTACTAAAAATGCAAAAATTAGCGGGGCGTGGTGGCAGGCGCCTGTAATCTCAGCTACTCAGGAAGGTGAGGCAGGAGAATCGCTTGAACCCAGGAGGCGTAGGTTGCAGTAAGCCGAGATCACACCATTGCACTCCAACCTGGGCAACAGAGTGAGAATCCGTCTCAAAAAAAAAACTGTGGGGTCAAAATAAAAGCTGACTAACCAGGTGTCTAGTTAACATTTCATCAAGAAAAGAAAACTGGGCTATATAAGAACTTTTAAAAGATTTCTTCGGTTTGGAACTAAAATTGACCTGAAATGTCTGTGGAAGTCCTTGAATTTGGTTTTGATGTCAATTTCCTTGGTGTATTTAGCAGTACAAATTTAAAAGGAAAAGAAGCCCTATGCACCCATTCCTTACGCAGTTATTCTGTGCATTCTAGATGAAGAAAAATAAAACTCTACATTTTTTATCTTGTATAATTTTACAGCAAGTCAAATATTTACAACATGAGACCTTTCAAATATGAGATACGACTACAGAAAGGAATGTAATGGTAGCATAAGATCTTAGATAACAGCATGAGAGCAGATCAATTTATTCACTATTCCTATTAAATATTTAATTCCTAATACAGATAATACAATGTATCATTAGCATCTAGCAAGAAAATTTATACTGTCACAAACCCACTAAAAAAATTTACAGCAAGAAAAGTGAAATGATTTCCAGCTGTATTTCTTGTGATTTATGTAAGCGCAAAGCTTCTTAAAATTGTATTTTGAAAATTATCACAGATTTTAGGGTGTTTCCCTGTTTCTTAACCAAAATAGGCAGCGCAAATTAGGTTAAGCCATTTGGTGGGATAAAAGAAGATTCAATAATGGAAGAACACTCTACTCTTTAAATAAATAATTAAAATGAAATATCCAATTTTCTAATTCTCAAATTGAAACTTATTTTCTTCAATAAATACATGCACATACACATACCCACACACAAGACCTTATTTAAATCTTTTGGCTTCTTTGACCAACAATTACCATTTCTTCAACTCATTTTTTCTCAAATGAATACAAGCAACATAAACTCTTTTTAAAGAGTAATTCCTGCCAGGCACAGTGGTTTGCTCCTGTAGTCCCAGCTACTTAGAAGGCTGAGGCAGGAGGATTGCTTGAGCCCAGGAGCTTGAGTCTAACTTGGGCAACATAGCAGGATCACGTCTCTTTTTTATTTCTGAGACGGAGTTTTGCTCTGTCACCCAGGCTGGAGTGCAATGGTGCGATCTCCACTCACTGCAACCTCTGCCTCCCAGGTTCAAGCAATTCTCCTGCCTCAGCCTCCCGAGCAGCTGGGATTACAGGCATGTGCCACCATGCCTGGCTAATTTTTGTATTTTTAGTAGAGACGGCATTTCACCATGTTGGCCAAGCTGGTCTTGAACTCTTGACCTAAGGTGATCTGCCCGCCTCAGCTTCCCAAAGTGCTGGGATTACTAAAGGCATGAGCCACCACGCTGAGCCTCATCTATGTTTCAAACAGTAAATTCAGACTGGGATTCTCCTATATTCATACATATTAGTCAGAGAGAGACAAGTTTTTTTACTACATCAAGCTGACTTTTATAACTGTGGTAAAGTCTAAAAGTATCTGATTGACCAGTAATGGCTTTAGTAAGCAGAAGGTTAATAAATCATGTAGGCAAACAGGAGAGCATAACCTGCTGCTTTATAAGAATTATATTTACAGTGTTATGTTTCCACAGGTATAGGTGTTTGTTAGGCCAAAAAATATGAGAAAGATATCGTTTCACTTCCAGTTATGTGCAAATTTCGAGTAGCAAACCTGACAGTTATGTTAAAGCAGAATTTACTGCTGGACTAGGAATACACAAACAAAACTCCACTTCGAAGACCAAGCCATGCTGAGTCCCTTGGGAGCTACTGTTTTTTTTCAAGGTATGCTGTTGCATTACAACAGCTGGGGCATCCTCCAGAGTGTTCACAAACTTCCAGCTTGGTGCTCATTTGGATGTGTCTGGACACAGCACTTACATTGAGGGCATGAATTCAGCTTGAAGTGACTGAAACACGGGCAACTGATGCTCAGAGTCAAAGGGAGTATCACTTTGGATACCTTTTCCATCGCACCTAAAATTCAGCATACACTGAAGGAAAAAATAATCATCCTGAGCCTTTTTAGAAGACACCCAAGTCACAAATTTAAGAAGTTATGGATATAATGGATATGCTAGAATATTCCTCTAAAGAAGAAGAGTAACAAAGATAATTACTGTTTTTTTCTCCCCATGGAATACTGAACCTCTGCCCTAAGATAGGAAAACTACAGTTGTTCTAATATTACACAAACAAGTGCAGTATTCCTAACTGTAAGAAGTGATCTGTAAGATTTGCATTTCACTGAAAAACACAACAACAGGCACTTAATTCAACTCTCAGTCAAGTTTTCTGGTCAGTAAATTTAAAAACATTGGTTTTTCTTCTGTTGCCGGTGAGATTTTGCCATCATGAAAAGTATTCAGGTCGCGCACGGTGGCTCACGCCTGTAATCCCAGCACTTTGGGAGGCCGAGGTGGGCGGATCACGAGGTCAGGAGTTTGAGACCAGCCTGGCCAATATGATGAAACCCCGTCTCTACTAAAAACACAAAAATTAGCTGGGCGTGGTGGTGTGTGCCTGTAGTCCCAGCTACTTGGAAGTCTGAGGCACGAGAATCGCTTGAACCTGGGAGGCAGAGGTTGCAGTGAGCCAAGAGCAAGCCACTGCACTCCAGCCTGGGGGACAGAGCGAGACTCTGTCTTGGTGGCAGCAGGGTGGGGGGTGGGGGGGAGACATATTCTCCTTACAGGAAATCCATTTATAACAGTTATCAGTCACCTAAGATTAGTGAACTTTATCTCAAAAAATATCTTTCAATTAAATTCTCCAAGATAAAAAGGAACCAATGTAGGCTGGGTGCAGTGGCTCACACCTGTAATCCCAGCACTTTTGGAGGCTGAGGTGGGCGGATCACGAGGTCAGGAGATCAAGACCATCCTGGCTAACACGGTGAAACCCTGTCTCTACTAAAAATACAAAAAGAAATTAGCCGGGCGCGGTGGCGGGCACCTGTATAGTCCCAGCTACTCAGGAGGCTGAGGTAGGAGAATGGTGTGAACCTGGGAGGCAGAGCTTGCAGTGAGCCAAGATCGCGCCACTGCACTCCAGCCTGGGCGACAGAGCAAGAATCCATCTCAAAAAAAAAAAAAAAAAAAAAAGGAAGCAATGTAATAAGGTAATTCTTAAGACACTTGTTTTTTATCATCTATTCCCACAGGCAGTCACACACATACAGGGCATACTAACCAAATGTCACCCTGAAGATTCAGGGTGGAGGAATTACTCAGCACAGTGGAGGAGTTAGAAAATAAGTTGCTGGTGAGATCAATTTTGATCGAAGAGAATGAGATGAGAAAAAATTGAATAACAGATGACTATCCTCTCCCTCTGCTCTGCGAGCTGGAGTCTACCTGCCAGCTTTTCTATGTACCAACGTAAGTACCCACCAAAAACTGCTTCACACACACACACACACACACACACATATACACGAAAATTGGTTTGTTATGGAAACCCATACTCACAACAGAAAACTAAAAAAGGACCTAGCCTTATTTTTCCTTCAAACAGCTGCTCTCGGGGCCAAAACCATGCTTCCTGAAAATGAAGGGTAATAAACAAGATAAATGCAGCCCAGAGGATGCCAACACAAAACCCAGACAGACATATTACAGAGAAACAGGGCAGCCTTATAAAAAAAAAAACCAAAACTGGATCATCTTACATGATAATCCAATAGTCCCACTTCAATTAATTATATGTAAATTTCTCGGACAAGTTATTCCAAAAACAGGACCAGAGGAACAGGGAACAGAAATAAGGAGTAATGGAGCTGGTGAAGGCTGCAGGGAAGGGGAAAGGACAAAGCAGGACCTCCTGGAAGGGGAAAGGGAAGCTCCGGTTAAACATATAAAGAATAGGCCAGGCTTGGTGGCTCATGCCTGTAATCCCAGTACTTTGAGAGGCTGAGGTGGATGGTCAGGAGTTCGAGACCAGCCTGGCCAACATGGTGAAACCCTGTCTCTACTAAAAATACAAAAATTAGCCGGGCATGGTGGCGGGTGCCTGTAATCCCAACTACTTGGGAGGCTGAGGCAGGAGAATCACTTGAACCTGGGAGACAGAGGTTGCAGTGAGCCGAGATCGTGCCACTGCACTCCACCCTGGGTGATAAGAGCAAGACTCCATCTCAAAACAAACAAACAAACAAACATATAAAGAAAGAATAAACCCAAGGCCGGGCACAGTGGCTCACGCCTGTAATCCCAGCACTTTGGGAGGCCAAGGCAGACGTATCACCTGAGGTCAGGAGTTCAAGACCAGCCTGGCCAACGTGGTGAAACCCTGTCTCTACTAAAAATACAAAAATTAGCCAGGCGTGGTGGCGGGCACCTGTAATCCCAGCTACTTGGGAGGCTGATGTGGGAGGATCACTGGAACCTGGGAGGCGGAGGTTGCAGTGAGCGGAGATAGTGCCACTGTACTCCAGCCTCCACTACAACAGCAAGACTCTGTCTCAAAAAAAAAAAAAAAAAAAGAATAAACCCAAAAGAAAACCCTGTTAGATTTAAGAAACACACCAGTACCCTTTTAACAGATATGACAAAAAGGAAATGTTCCTGCTTTTCTCTTGGGAATTAGGGGGCAGGAGAAATGAGGGCTCACCTCCCTCTTCTTCCATCATGGAAGTTGGCTCCCCAAGCTCAAGTGTGCCTCCTGTGAGTTCCAGCAAGCAGTCTGCAATGACAGCCACAAAAATGTCTTGGCAGTAGAGCTAATCTAGCAATGGTGTGGAAAATAAACACACAGGGCAATTGAAACCAGAATCCAGAGTCCTTGATTCAACTGTTTACTAATCAGAAAGGTCGGTATAGTCGGTCCTTTTTCTACTGCTGGCAAGTGATTTTTGTATATTTTATTACAAATAAAACAATATTGCTTGACAGCATCATCTGTCATCTTACAAATATACAACTACACAGTCCTAAAGTAATAGTATGTCTCTAGAACTGAGCTTTTCTTAAAAACAAACAATAACTATACTATTATTAAGTCCTGCACCCTAAATCTATACAGCAGCTTTAATCAATGTGGAAATGAAATTATGATTTATTAATTTACATAAAATTACTTTATACATTAAAGAATAATTTTTCAAATTGTTAAAAAAACAAAGTCTGAAGCTGTCATTATTGGGATTCGTGGGACGTGGTTTGCTCTTCTATCACCTGCTTCACAATTTCTGCCAGTTTTAGTCGATCTACTTTATCTGTGAATCCACGACCTGAAAGCAAAAAAAGAACAAGGTCAGTCCTCAAATTCTTTGAGAGGTGGCAGACTCTTGACAGAGACCCAATAAGGTCCACCTTACCAGTATCAAATTCACCCTCACCAGTGGGGGAACCACCCCCACCACTGATCAAAAGCAGTTCAGATCCCCCATTTTTCAGGTAGCAATTGTACAGTTCCACTAACCTGGCAGTAAAAATCCAAAGCTCACAACACACAAGCAAACCACAAAGAGAGACAAGATCTTTGTAATACATACAGCTGACAAAAGACTCATATCCAGAATATATAAAGAATTCCTATACATCTATAAGAAAAACACAACTCAGTGAAAAAAAATGGGCAAAAGACTTGAATAGGTACTTCACAAAAGAGGAAATCTAACTGGCCCATAAACATTTAAAATGTATATCAGTACGTTTTAAGGGTACATTTAAGGGTAATGCAAACTAAAACCACATTGCAATACCACCTACAAACTAACCAGGATAACGAAGATTTTTTAAAAAGACAATAGCAAGAGTTGGTGTGGACGTGAAGTAACCAGAACCCCCAAACACTGCTAGTGGGAGTTCATAAATTCACTTTGAAAAACTGGTAGCAGTACCCACTAAAGCCAGACAGATGAAGACCTCCATGAACCAGCAATTCTAATCCTATACACGTAAGATAAATGAGCTCATCAAAAGACATTCGCAAGAGTATTCACCACAGCCCTTTTCTTAATTCCCCAAATCTGGAAATAATCCTAAAGTCCATTCAACAGTAGAATGGAGAAATATAGCACACATTCATACAGTGAAAATGAATGATCTGCTGCTACACACAACATGGATGGATGTCACAAATATAATGACTAAAATTTAATTGACTAAAAGAAGCCAGACATAAAAGAACACAGACTTATCTGACTCCATTCACAAAGAATACAAAACCAGGCAAACTTAGGCTACAGTGCTAGAAATCAGGACTGTGATTACCTTTGAATGGAGGGAGGGAGTGACTGGAAGAGGATGCATGTTCTACTACATGATCTAGGTGCTGGTTACAGAGGAGTGTTCACTTTGTGAAAATTCACTTAAGTCTGTTATTTCATATGTGATCACTTTTCTAAAATGACATATTTCAAGTTTTTTTTTCCCTTTTTTTTTTTTAAAGACGGAGTCTCTCTCTGTTGCCCAGGCTGGAGTGCAGTGGTGTGATCTCAGCTCACTGCAACCTCCGCCTCCCAGGTTCAAGCGATTCTCCTGCCTCAGCCTCCTGAGTAGCTGGAACTACAGGCGCATGCCACCATGCCCGGCTAATTTTTTTTTTTTTTTTTTTTGTATTTTTAGTAGAGGTGGGGTTTCACCGTGTTAGCCAGGATGGTCTTGATCTCCTGACCTCATGATCCGCCCGCCTTGGCCTCCCAAAGTGTTGGGATTACATGCGTGACCCATCGTGCCTGGCCCTCAAATTTTTCTTTAAAAAAATCCCAGGGAAGTGAATCTCCTCCAAGAATGGGAATGGCCAGGCTAGCACTTTAGATTTCTTATGGCATGTCTAAGAAACAAGAAGGCAGGCCAGGTGCAGTGGCTCACACCTGTAATCCCAGCACTTTGGGAGGCCAAGGTGGGTGGATCACTTGAGGTCAGGAGTTCGAGACGAGCCTGGCCAACATGGTGAAACCCCGTCTCCACTAAAAAAAAAAAAATACAAAAATTAGCTGGGCATGGTGGTACGTGCCTGTAGTCCCAGTTCCTTGGGAGGCTGGGGTGGGAGAATCGCATGAGCCCAGGACGGGGAGGTTGCAGTAAGTCAAGATCGCACCACTCCATTCCAGCCTGGGCAACAGAGGGAGACTCCATCTCAAAAAACAAAACAAAACAAAAAACAACAACAACAAAAAAACGCGGAAACAAGTGAGGCATTGAAATCTTCAGTTTGCTCCCTTCCCTGAGCATCCTGGAGCATAAGTCTAGTACAGTTTGCTCAACTGGAAAGACAATATTAAAATCAGTTTCAAGCCAGGCACAGAGGCTCACGCCTGTAATCCCAGCACTTTGGGAGGCTGAGGCAGGTGGATCACTTGAGGCCAGGAGTTCAAGACCAGCCTGGCCAACATGGTGAAACCCCATCTCTACTAAAAATACAAAAATTAGCTGGGCATGGTGGCACTTGCCTGTAGTCCCAGCTATTTGGGAGGCTGAGGCAGGAGAATCACTTGAACCCGGAAGGCAGAGGTTGCAATGAGCAAAGATTGCGCCACTGCACTCCAGCCTGAGGGACAGAGTGAAACTCCGCCTCAAGAAAAACAAGGCAGTTCAAGAAATTCATCTCTACCTTATTTGCTTCGGGAAAAAAACTTAACCAGCAGTAGATTTGGCAAACTTTCTCCTCTTTCGTGAAACAGCTCTTCTCTAAGCCAAGCAGATCAGCGGGATCAGCAGGGTGGACTCGCTGGCACTTTGTCCTCTTTCTCCCCTTCAGCATCTGTTGCTTCTTAATGACCTGGTGAATAGTCCTGGTATCTGAGAGGAGTTCTGAAATTTGGGGGTTTTTTTTACCCAAGTGGTGTGTGATGGGGGCTTTCTAGTGTTGAATCTGCAATACACAATTCACTTGAACTCCGGAAAATAAGTGAAAGGGCCAGATATCCAGGTATGCCTGGGCAGTTAATGTAGAGCTAACCCCCATTCCACAATGCTCCACTCACTCTCCAGCCAGCCTCACTTCACTTCAAAACAGCCGCAGCTCAGGCCCCAAAGAGATCCTATATGTTCTAAACATAATCACTTGTCTGCATTCCTGGGGAAGGGAGTTGATGAAGGCTCCTACCATTCCAGCTGAAGCTCTGCAGAGTATCTCTTAGGAGTTTGCATTCCCGGTTATACTTCCAAGCCTCCTGCATTACTTCATTCAGTTTCTCATCTTCATTCTCTCCTATTGGTAAGGATGAAGAGGAATTTGCATTTTTCCTGCAGCATCATGGGGTTTTAGTGTGAGAGATGGAGGGACGTGATGTCCAACTGGTTGAAAAATGTTGACTGAATGTGCAAAACTTCACCAGACAAGGGCTTTACTGCTAGTCCCTACATTATGTAGACCGCATCTGGTATGTGGACTCTTTTTTACTCTGACATCTTTATACAAATCCACTGATGGCCCCAGAGTCTTAGCACCAGGGGATGGGAAATAGGCTGTGGCAGACTCTATTGCTGAACAAAAGACACCTGGTCAACCAAAGACCAAAAAGTGGGAGAGTGGGCTACTTTCTCTCCCCTAAGCTCATTTCTTACTTTAGAAAGCTATCTGAGGTACACTACATGAGTTCTCTTAAAACCCAAGGAATCTAGGGAGATAGATAGGTCAACCCAACTGTTTTCTGGCCTAGTACGTGAAGCATCTCATTTATCTGCTGAGAATAGCCCCTCACCCGCCGATGAGTGGAGAGAGAACATAACGAAAGAAAGCTCTCACTCCAAAGGACCCACGTGTAAGTCACTCTGCCCATGACATGAGTAGCAGCAGGAGCCACTTCTGAACTAAGGAGGTATTCTCTTATTTATGAGCTAATGGCAGCCTTGCACTCTAAAGGCTCTGGAAATGGTTAACAGCCTGCAATGAGATTCAGACCCTACCCACATTTTCCATTCTCCATCCCCCAACCTGTGCCCTTGTTGTCAAACTAAGAAAACACAAAATTGCATGCTTGCACCTGACACTGCCAATTAAGTCTAAACTAGAAATTCCACAGAAACAAAGGAGGGGCAGAACTTAACTGCATTTCTAAGCTCCCACTGTCCAATCTTTTTAGTGGGCATAGACTACCTTATATAATGTACTTTTCTTATAACACAAGATGAAACAGACAACCCAAAATTAAACCATTCCTTTTGCCATGTGCATGCATACACCCACCCACCCCTGCACACACACACTCACAGACACACAGAGGATTAGTAAATGGTGTGACCTTTACCAGCCTGGGGGAGAATACACTGAGCAATCACATCTCGGAGTTTTTCCAAGGCAACATTGGAATCCTCGGCTCCATTCTCATGGTCGTGGATATAGACACTGTCCTTTGGCTTGGTGCTTTAAGAGTTTGAGGGAGGGGTAATGACAACGTGAGACCCCAAAAACCAACTCTGGACAGATATTACCTCTAAACATAAGGCAACAGATGTATCAGAAAAATAACAATAGTGTCCAACTCCTGATACTATTTAAAGAACTTATCCTCTCCACCCTCTTCAGAGGCTAAAGACCCCTAGCTGAGCAAGTTAAATTTCTTAAATTTCAGAACCCAGTACTCAGCCATTCCAGCCATGAAGAAGAATCGAAGAAATAAGCTCAGTTACCCAAGTAACTTCCTCTTCCGCAGAATGGGGTTGTTCACTGAGTGCAGGGGTTTGAGGCTGACTTTCAGATCCTGGATTCTCATGTTGGCCAACTGTTCCGCGTGAGCCTGCTGGATTCCTGCAACCACTGCCTGAATGCAAACACTGCCGTCAGTTTTTCATATTCATTGCTGGGCACCTAAAAAGCCAGTCTAAGAAAGTGGAAAGGAAAAGCTCAAAGTACTAAGAAGGTAATTTCACTCTTATGCTGAAGGAATATAAATATTTTGATAAGGCAAAGGACTTTTCCCCATGGATCAACAGGAACCAGGAAACACCAGGCCAACCAAAGGTCACACAACAACTAGCCCTTCTTCCCTGGTGGGGGGACAGAAATGCGAGTAAGAAATACCAGCAGGAACCCCACTCAAAGCCACTACTGAGGGGAAGTGTAAAGAGGCACATATGGACATCAGCGGAAAGGCTGGCAGGCTGCTGCCCAAGAAGCCTTACAGACGGTATTGATTCACCTCAGCCCTGACAGCTCAGAGCCCTGACCATCTCACATGGCCAAGGCTGAGGCCACATGACCGAGGCCACAACCAGTCAAGTAATTTACAGTGAGAAATAGCTGTCATGGAGTCTGGAACTCTGGAAGTTTGTGCTTTTATGAACAGTGTATAATCTCACTACGGGCAGACGAAATCATCAGAAGGCTTCATAGGAATATGATCCCATTTTTGTATTTTTTTTTCCATTTTTGTACTTTAAAAGAAGGACAGAATGTGTGTGTGTGTGTGTGTGTGTGTGTGTGTGTGTGTGTGTATCCCAGAAAACGATCAGGAAGTATACATCAAGCCATAGATTACCTCACCTCTGAGGGGTGTGACTGTGGCAGGGAATGAAAGGGAACTTTTACTTTTTAACACGGCTGTACCACCTGAATTTTCACAACAAGAATTTTTTTGAGAGAGTCTTGCTCTGTCTCCCAGGCTGGAGTGCAGTGGTGCAGTCTTGACTCACTGCAACCTCTGCCGCTGCCAGGTTCAAGCAATTCTCCTGCCTCAACCTCCAGAGTAGCTGGGATTACAGGCGCATGCCACCACGCCCAGCTAATTTTTGTATTTTCAGTAGAGATGGGGTTTCCTCATGTTGGCCAGGCTAGTCTGGAACTCTTGACCTCAAGTGATCTGCCTGCCTCAGCCTCTCAAAACTGCTGGGATTACAGGCGTAAGCCACCATGCCTGGCCTTATCTCCTCATTTTTAAGATCTTGAGTAACCTCTATGTGCTGACAACCAGGATCTAAGTAATCCCTTTGGATTTTTGAATGACCAAACCATTTCTGGACAACAGGAAGACAACCACCCACAAATCAAAGAGAAGGCAGAGAACTGTACTTTCCAGTTCTCCTTTTTCTTCCATGCTCCAGCTAAACTTAGAAAGAGACGTCTAACACTTCCACCCTACCCCTTCAAAGCTGTTAACACTCAAGTCTGTGTCACCGCTTTGAGCTCACAGCCACACTATGGTCCCACCCTATAAATCTCATTCATTTGAATGTTCCTCTGCCATCTCAAACAATATCTAAAACCTAAAAGACTCCCTCTCACCCAAACCAGCCTCCTTCCTAATCTGTCAATGTTATCACCAGATATGCCACAACTGTCCCCTTATATCTAGTCTATCACGAAAAACTGTAGAAATTTTTCTTCAAAAATATTTAGCCTGTTCATTCACCTCTACTTCTCTGCTCCCACAGCCACCTCCGACTTCTAGATTACTGCAGAAGTATTAGGCTGGCAAGTCTGCAAGTCGCCAAGTCTGACTATCTCTAAATACCTTCCTAGTGGCAAATCTCTTCTCAAAAAGCTACTATGGCCTCTCAGCTGCATCCCACTAAGACTTAAACCCCTCTGTCCACTTGCAAAGCCTGGCCCTGCCACACCCATCTCATTAACTTCCCATTAGTGAGGCCAAATTATTTTTCCCGATGATGTATTTGCATGTGTTTTTTTGCTTATGCTGTTCGCCACGCATGGGCGTTTACACTGTCTACTCAAATTCTTCAAGGACAGCGCATGTCCGAACATGAGAAAGAACTCAGATGCTGCAACACAGAAGACAGTTAATACATGTGAGGGGTTCTGCCTTCTCTTTGGGAAAATTACATCCCTTCAAAGATGTGCTCTTTTTCTGAATTCCCACAGCATTCACAGGAAAGTTAACATGCAAAGCTCTGATATTTGAAATGTTCCCTCTTTGTTTCATGTTTATTGGCCTTGCCTTCCCAGCCAGTCTTATTTAAACCCCTTGGGGAAAGGGAGGGTATCTTAAACTGTTCTGTGCCCGCAGCCCTGTAGCAGAAATATGGAGGCTATTCCTTTGAGTGCTCCCTTAGTTTATATTCACCAGGCCTTGATTTGGTCTTTTACCGAAAGAAATTCCTTATTTTGGATCCTGACTCTCAGGAAACCAGAGATGTTTCTCTGGGAAGGATCGTGTACTCTGCACTGTTTTGCCTCTAACCCCTCACTGAGCCAAGCCCCAGCATTCCTTCCCAACACAGTCTTTTCAGCCAACAAAGTAAACATCATTCAAAACCTTGTCCATCATCAGCTGAGCAGAAGGCAGCACATTATCCAGGGCCTCGGTGGAATTGAGCCAGGGGTGGTCCAGCACTCCCTCGATGGTGAGTCTCTCCTCCGGTTTGACCTTCAGGAGCCTGTGGAGAAAACGCCAACAGGGCTGCCATGCACAGTTGCTACCAAAAGGCCATAGGAAGTTCCTGGACCTGGCTCTAAACAGTTCTGGTTACTTCTGACTTCTGCAAGCCTGGGCTTTCCACCTGCAGAGCACAGATGGGATTCTAGTCTCCAACCACTTGTAGGGGTACTATGGCTTGAGGCAGTCCTTTGTATACTGGAAAAAGTGAGATTAAAATGGTAGAAAAGGGCTTAATCCAGTGATACTTTTGAGTTCTAGGGTTTAATAAGGTAATCCTACATATGGCTTATAGTTCCTCAGACCTTGAATCTCCATACTGAGGTTTCTAGGACAATGGGCTTTAACTTCCAAAAGGAACTCAGAGTGCTCTTTTTGGCTGATAGTGGCTGCAGAATTAGTTGAAGGGTCATGAGGTTCTGGAAAAGCAGGTTGCTACCCAATATAAAACTCCTAGATGTCACCATATGGCAGGACATGAGCCCATTATTCCACAGACATTCAAAAGCTAAAAACCTAGAGTCTCTGAGACAGGGATGGCATTTCCTTCTAAGCCCAGGGTGTTGCTTCTGTGCTGTCTGCCTTCAGATCATGCTTCTTTCCATCTTGTTCATTCCCACTGATGTGGTTCCTAGCTCATCTCAGCCCGTTCCCTCCTTCCAACTCCATCTCTCATTACAAATGTCAGGACAACATGCCTAACTGCTCCTTCAGCTTGTCTGCCACCTTCTTCTGGATCATTCTGAACAGATGGCTTCAGATTCTAAAGAAAGGATTATCTGGAAGATCCCAAAACCAAAAAGATAATCAGTGTTGCTCTAGGGACAGGAAATGTATTCTATAGAAAACTGGCAAAGAACTACTTACAGGACATTGAGGTTTTGGTCAAATAGCTGGGAATACAGCAAGGAAATAGCATGTCAAGACAGATGGTGATTTAATCATTGCACCCACGTTCCTAAAAACTTGTACTTGTCTATTTTAGAAAACAGTCCCTCTTTATAGCACACAGAACCTGCCCCCAACCCCCACCTTCTAATCAACAGGACAAGCTTACTTTTGAAAGGGAGTAATTTCCACGGAGAAATGGCTGTACTGTTGGGAGACAGCTCCCAGGTGTTGCCCCTAAACATGTACCTTCATCCCATTATAGAGGAAGAAACTGAGACCAACAAGGGAGACACTGCTCAGTGAAGACCCAGCAGTGGGAAGACAGGGGCAGTGCCTAAGTCCATGGGCACCCAGCCTCCCACACAGGTGGGCAGAAAAAACAAACATATTCTAATTTAGGCCTGACTTCTTACCTAGTCCTACAGCTACCAAAAGACTCTGAATATCAACTCTCCCTCATCCACTCACTAGCCCTAATTCTGACTAAATCTTCCCATCTTAAGATATGCCAGAGCAGCTGGGTGCGGTGGCTCACGCCTGTAATCCCAGCACTTGGGAAGGCCGAGGCGGGCAGATCGCTTGAGATCAGTAGTTTGAGACCAGCCTGGCCAACATGGTCAAACCCCATCTCTACTTAAAATACAAAAATGAGCTGGGCGTGTTAGCGGGCTCCTGTAATCCCAGCTACTGCCGAGGCTGAGGCAGGAGAATCACTTGAACCCAGGAGGTGGAGGTTGCAGTGAGCCAAGATTGTACCACTGCACTCCACCCTGGGCAACAGAGCGAGACTCCATCTCAAAGCAACCAACTGGCAGCGCGAAGGTGGAGGGTGGGGTCCAGGCCTGACAAACCCACATAACCACAGCATCCAAGGATGCTGTTTGTCATCTCGGCACCTAGTTCACCTCCTGGCATTGTATCTGTCCCAAATGACATGCCAGCTCACAGGTAAGAAGGACAGCACACCAGGTCTATAATTTAGGGTCTTGAATTAATGTGCAGAGACTGCCTATGGAGGGACCTGGGTTCACACCCTGGGGACAAAGTCTAGGGATGCAACAGGAGGGAGGAAAGCTTCATTCGCACCAAGGTGTGGACACTGAGAACAGTCACCTCAGGCTCCAGAGAGATTTCTGTGATATTAAAACGGGGAGGAGCCTGCCTAGGAAACCAGTGACTTTTCTCTACCCACATTCCCTTGTGCTCCACCACCTGGAGGCCTCCTTGGCCTCCATGCCCAGCAGCCCGTGAACTCACTTCCTCACAACATCTTTGGCCATCTCTGAGATCTGACTCCACTCTTCCTCTGGGAACTCAAAACTGCCTGTCATGATCTTTCTTCGCATATCCTTTGGGATAGTCCGGCTGTGGTGTTTGGAGTAAAAAGGAGGGTATCCGCACAGCATCACATAGATAATCACCCCTAGGGACCACAAGTCACAGCTCTGAAAGCAAAAAAGAAAATGGTCACTCACAGCAGAAGCAGAGCCCCCAAATAAACACCCCATGACAGGCTCAGGAATAGCCCCTGCAATATATAGGCTGATATAAACTAGAGTCACTTAACAGAGACTAGGAAAGCTGAAGGAAGTCTTAGGAGAACTAGTCTTTATCTCCATATTTTCTTTCTTTCTTTTTTTTTCTTTGAGACAGAGTCTTGCTCTGTTGCCCAGGCTGGAGTGCAGTGGCGTAATCTCAGCTCACTGCAACCTCCGCCTCCCAGGTTCAAGCAATTCCTCCTGCCTCAGCCTCCTGAGTAGCTGGGATTACAGGCATGTGCCACCATGCCGCCTGGCTAATTTTTGTATTTTTTTTTTAGTAGAGATAGGCTTTCACCATGTTGGTCAGGTTGGTCTCGAACTCCTGACCTCGTGATCTGCCCGCCTTGGCCTCCCAAAGTGCTGGGATTACAGGCGTGACTCACCACACCTGGCCTCTCTCCATATTTTCAATAAGCTGCCAATACTACATACATGCATCCCATCATACAAAGCCAGTCTGGGATAAAATGTACAGGTACTTTCATTCTCACTCTTTAGGCCCAAGCACCTATCTGATCCCTGTGTACAGGTATAGGATGCTTTGCCCCAGCCAGAAAAGAAATAAATATAAACCAGCTGGTTGTGAAACCTCTATGTAGAAACAAAGCAACTAAGAGACAGGTAGGCTCACCTACAGTACAGCACAGGCCACTTCATAAAGGCCCAAAGCAGTTTGACACAGATCATGGAGAGGACTGGAGGGAAGAACAGAAGGTCTAAATGCATTCCTTTGACCATGAAGGACTCACTAGGTCCATTTGCAAGCTCTTACACCATTCTGGGGGAAGATACTGTGAAAAAAAGAAAACTGCTACCAACTACCATGTCTGCAGGTAGTAAGGTGACTCCATGGCCTATATCACTGCATAAAGGACTCCTATTTTAGTTAAATGCAGCTCCATTTGCTTTGAAAACTGGGTTTGCAGAGGCTTCAATTCAAGCCTTTCTTGAACAGCGAGATAAAAGAGGTGCCTGCCTAAGATGGCAGCCCCGTGAGCCTGCCACTGGGGCCCCACACTCCCCCTCACACCACAGCTGTGCGGTGCTCTGCATAAAGGCTGAATAATGGGGTGTCTCAGGTACTCTCGCCTGTATTTTCTTTTTTTGAGACGGAGTCTCACTCTGTCGCCAGGTTGGAGTGCAGTGGCGCGATCTCAGCTCACTGCAACCACTGCCTCCTGGGTTCAAGCGATTCTCATGCCTCAGTCTCCCAAGCAGCTGGGACTACAGGCGCCCGCCACCACACCCGGCTAATTTTTTGTATTTTTAGTAGAGACGGGGTTTCACCACAGTGGCCAGGATGGTCTCGATCTCCTGACCTCGTGATCCGCCCACCTCGGCCTCCCAAAGTGCTGGGATTACAGGCGTGAGCCACTGCGCCAGGCCTGCCCATGTTTTCACATTATACTAGTAGATATTTGTGGATGACACAGCCCATGCTGTAGAACAGAATCACAGAATAAAATTACAGGGGTGGAAAGGGACCTTCAATCCCTCACTTTCCAGAAAGGGAACTAATACTGCAGAGATCATGTCATCTCTCAGGTCCTCTGTCAAGAGTGAAACCAAGTGACCTCACCAATGTTACACAGATTAAGAGTAGTGGAGCCACAGCAAGTGTCCCAGCCTACTGCCTTTTTACCATTCTCAGCCCCTTCTGTCATCTATATCTAGCCTCAAGTCCCCAAGTAGCATCTTTTTTCTGATCTACTTACTCAGTGACTCCAGGGCCTATTTCTAGAGGCCCTAAACCTCTTGTGCTTTAGAACAGATAGGATCGGCTGGGCACGGTGGCTCACGCCTGTAATCCCAGCTCTTTGTGAGGCCGAGGCGAGTGGATCACCTGAGGTCAGGAATTCAGGACCAACCTGGCCAACATGGTGAATCCTCATCTCTCCTAAAAATACAAAACATTAGCCAGGCGTGGTGGCAGGCGCCTGTAATCCCAGCTACTTGGGAGGCTGAGGCAAGAGAATTGCTTGAACCCGGGAGGCGGAGGTTGCAGTGAGCCGAGATTGTGCCACTGCACTCCAGCCTGGGCGACAGGGTAAGACTCTGTCTCAAAAAAAAAAAAAAAAAAAGGAACAGACAGGATCAATATGTGGGCTACAGGCTGGGTGCGGTGGCTCACGCCTGTAATCCCAGCACTTTGGGAGGCCGAGGCGGGCGGATCACTTGAGGTCAGGAGTTTGAGATCAGCTTGGCCAACATGGAGAAACCCCGACTCTACTAAAAATACAAAAATTAGCTGAGTGTGGTGGCATGCACCCATCATCTCAGCTACCTGGGAGACTGAGGCAGGAGAATCGTTTGAGCACAGGAGGTGGAGGTTGCAGTGAGCTGAGATCACACCACTGTACTCCAGCCTGGGCGACAGAGCGAGACTCTGTCTCAAAAAAACAACAAAAAAAATGTGGGCTACAGATTAAGAACCGTAATATTACCAAGTAACACTTAGGAGCCCTTGCTATGTGTATCAGATACTGTTCTAAGCTGGGTGTTTTATGGGGTAACAAAGAATGGTGCCATAAATGACCACAAAGTGTTCTCTAGCGTCTGTGTCTCAGAAATGGCCTCCACCTCAAAAACACAAGCCAACCATATGTTTTCAGTGTGGCCAGTGGACCATATGGACAGTCAAAAAAATAACCTGACTGATGATCACGGTCCCTAATTACCACTGCAAAAGCTAATTGGGTACAAACTTTATTTGATATTTCATTAAACAAAAACTTGAATTCCAAATACTTTTCTGCGAGTCTGGCTGAACCTTATCTGATATTTCATCAAACAAAAACTTGAATTCCAAATACTTTTCTGCGAGTCTGGCTGCTTCTTTGGGGCAGGAATATTAAGGGGTGAGAAAGGAATTGGCCACACTCCCAGAGGGCCACAAACACCTCACTAAAGGAGAGGGGCTGCATCTGTCAAATGAAGAGAAATATCTCTTCCTGTACCTTGTTGTAAGTGTAGGGCGTCGGTGAGGTAGGTATGATGCCAGATTTCTCCTTCTGATGCCTTCTTTGCGCCTCCAGTACCTGTCAAGAGTCAGACCAAAGGGGACCATTTAATGAAAATCACACCACCGATAACCTGCCTTGAGACAGGCTACTATGAGACTGAAGGAGGTAAACAACTGGCAATCAGCCATCGAAAAAAAACTCCACATAAACACTACACTTCCAAAAACGTTTTTTTCTTACAACCAGTAATTTATCCATCAGCCAGGGAAATACTCAGGTCAAGGACATGAAGATGAAGTTCCTAGAGGAGATTCCTCTCTTCTTCCTGCCCATCAAGGAATCTGAGATCACTGACTTTTTCCTGGGGATAGCCCTTATGCCTATGCGAAAGCAGATCTGTCCAGCAGATGAGCTTCAAGCCATCTGTTACCATCAGGGACTATGACAGTCATGTCAGTCTAGGTGTTAAGTGCTCCAAGGAGGTAGCCACTGCCACCGTGAGACCATTATCCTGGCCAACCTCTCTAATGTCCCATGAGGAGGAACTCCAGAGGGGGTCACAACATTAGCAGCCCCACACTGTTCCTTGAAAAGTCACAGGATGCTGAGGTTCTGTGCAAGGGGACTTCATCCCACACCCCGACCTACTTGATACTGTCTCAGCCCCTGTGCCCATGAAGCTGGGGCGGATGGGATACAACTGCTACCACTTAGCCAGGGGCTGCAGTGCCATCTTGGGCAACTTTGCAAAGGCCATCTTCAGTGCCACCTCTAAGACCTGCAGCTATCTCACCTAATAGAAATTCACTGACCATCTTATAAAAAACTACACTAGGCTGGGTGCGGTGGCTCACACCTGTAATCCCAGCACTTTGGGAAGCCAAGGCAGGCAGATCATGAGGTCAGGAGTTCGAGACCAGCCTGGCCAACATGGTGAAACCCCATCTCTACTAAAAATACAAAAATTAGACGGGCATGGTGGTGGGCGCCTGTAATCCCAACTACATGGGAGGCTGAGGCAGAAGAATCACTTGAACCCGGGAGGTGGAGGTTGTGGTGAGCCAAGATTGAGCCACTGCACTCTAGCCTGGGCAACAAGAGCAAAATCCCATCTCAAAAAAAAAAAAAAAAAAACCTACTCTAAAGTCTCCATGCAGAGGACCTGGGCTCTAACCACGACCACCATATAGAGCTTTTACACAAGAACAACAAAGTGAGTTAATTAAACCCGAAAATAAAACACCATTCACAACAGCAGAAAAAATATCAAGCATTAAGAATAAATCTCACAAATATGTGAGAGACCTATAAACTGACTACATAATATTGCTGAGCAAAATTATGAGACAAACATGAATGGAGTGATACAGCTTGCTCATAGGTCAGAAGACTCAATATCACTAAAATCTCAGCACTTCCACATTGAATGATAGCTCTAAAACAACCCCAGTCAAAACTCCCAGTAGGCTTTTTTATAGAAATCAACAGCTGACTGTAAAGTTCACATGGAAATGCAAGGAAGTCAGAATAGCAAAAACAACTTTGAAAATGAAGAACAAAGGTGGAGGGCCAACGCTACCTGATTTCAAGAATTATTATAAAGCTACAGTAATCAAGACAGTGTGGTATTGGGGTAAAGATAGATAAAGAGATCAATGGAATAGAATAAAGAGTCCAAAAATAAATTCACACATATATGCTCCATGATTTTTGACAAAGGCTCAAAAGCAATGCCGCAGAGAAAAGACAGCCTTTTTCATGAACGGTTGCTTCTGAGGGTGGGGCTTAAAAGATAAAAATTAAGGCGGGGCATGGTGGCTCACGTCTGTAATCCCAGCACTTTGGGAGGCCGAGGCAGGAGGATCACGAGGTCAGGAGATCGAGACTATCCTGGCTAACATGGTGAAACCCCGTCTCTACTAAAAATACAAAAAATTATCCGGGCGTAGTGGCAGGTGCCTGTAATCCCTGCTACTCGGGAGGCTGAGGCAGGAGAATGGCTTGAACCCTGGAGGCGGAGGTTGCAGTGAGCTGAGATCCGCCACTGCACTCCAACTTGGCAACAGAGTGAGACTCCGTCTCAAAATAAATAAATAAATAAATAAATAAATAATAAATAAATAGAACAACAAATGGTGCTAGAACAACTGGACATCCAAATGCTAATAAGTGAACTTGGATCCATACCTCATGCATTATATAAAAATTGACTCAACATGGATCACAGACCTAAATGTAAAACCTAACACTATATAAAACTTCTAGAAGAAAACATAGGAGACTGATCTTGGGTGAGACAAAGATTTTCAACATAGGAAACCAAAAGCACAGGCCTTAAAAAAGTTTTCTGATAAACTGGCATTCATGAAAATTAGAATTTTCTGCTCCTCAAAAGACACTGTTAAAGAATGAAAAGATAAGCCACAGACTGGGAGAAAATCTTTGCAAAGCACAGATCTAATAAAAGATTCGTATCCATCTCTTGACAACCTGGGAGAGTTTAAAAAAAAAAAAAAAAAGAGTCAGAGTCAGCTGGACGTGGTAGATCATGCCTGTAATCCCAGCAAGTTAGGAGGCTGAGGCAGGAGGATCACTTGAGCCCAGAAGTTCGAGACCAGCCTGGACAATGTGGTGAGGCCCCATCTCTTAAAAAAAAAAACCAAAAATTTCTTAATTAGCCAGATGTGGTGGCGTATGCCTATGGTCCCAGCTCCTAAGGAGGCTGAGGTGGGAGGATCGCTTGAGCCCAGGAGGTTGAGGCTACAGTGAGTCATGATTGTGCCACTGCATTCCAGCCTGGGTGGCAGAGCAAGACCCTGTCTCCAACAAAAAAAAGAAAGGAATTCATATCTGAAATATACAAAGAACTCTCAAATTCAGTAATAAGAAAATAAACAACCCAATTTTGTAAATACAGAAAAGGTCTGAACAGACACTTCCCGAAGAAAATATACAGAAGGCAGGTGCATACACAAATGTGTACACAAAAGAAAAGATGGCAGACATCATTACTCATTAGGGAATGCAAATTAAAACTACAAAGAAATACCACTACATATACACTAAAATGGCCAAAATAAAAAAGACTGACCATACCAAATGCAGGTGAAAATGCAGAAGACCTGAAACTTTCATACACTGCATTAAAAAAATAAGCAAATGGAGTCATTTGTAGGCCAGAAATATTAAAGAAAAAAAAAACAGGCTGGGCATGGTGGCTCACACCTGTAATCCCAGCACTTTGGGAGGTCAAGGCGAGTGGATCACCTGAGGTTAGGAGTTCAAGACCAACCTGAACAACATGGCGAAACCCTGTCTCTACTAAAAATACAAAAAATTAGCCGGGCGTGGTGGCACATGCCTTTAATCCCAGCTACTCGGGAGGCTGAGGAAGTAGAATCGCTTGAACCCGGGAGGTGGAGGTTGCAGTGAGCCGAGATCGTGCTACTGCACTCCAACTTGTGCCAGGAGCAAGACTCCATCTCAAAAAAAAAAATTAAAATTAAAATTAAAACCACAATGAAATTATTACCTCACACCTTTTACAGTGGCTATTAAAAAAGATAAAAGATAACAAGTGTTAACAATGATGTGGAAAAAAGGGAGCCTTTGTACACTGTAAGAATGTGTATTAGTATGACCACTATGGAAAACAGTGGGAAGCTTCCTAAAAAAATTAAAACTAGAAATACCTTATCATCCAGCAGTGCCACTATTGAGTATATATCAGAAGGGAAGAAGGGAAGGGAAAGCAGAAAGAAAAAAAAGGATGAAAGAAAAGGAAAAAAGGATGAAAATACAAAAGATCAGAACTCCAGTTCCCTGTACAGTCTAATATATATGTCATTGATTGGAAGTCTCAGAAAACAAGTAGAGGAGTAGAAAAATCGTTGAAGAGATGATGTCTGAAAAATTTCCTAATTTTTATTTGATATGGTGTTTATTTGATAAACACCATAAACCAACAGATCCCAGGAGCTCAAGAGATCCCTGGCAGGAAAAACAAAGGAACAAGAATGCATACATAATCAAATTGTTGGGACTTTTTTTTTTTAACTTTTATTTTGGGTTCAGGGGTACATGTGCTTTATGCATGTTAATTATATAGGTGAACTGCAGTGTCTTCACAGGGGTTTGGTATACAGATTATTTCATCACCCAGGTTTTATATAAGCATAATACCACATAGGTAGTTTTTTGATCCTCACCCTCCTTCCACCCAAATTGTTGGGATTTCTGTTTCTGCTAGGATATAGAAAGCTGGAAAGTGTCAAAGATAAATTATAAAATCATCCTTTTTTTTTTTTTTTTTTTTTGAGATGGAGTCTCGCTCTGTCACCAGGCTGGAGTGCAATGGCTCAATCTTTGTTCACTGCAACCTCCACCTCCTAGGTTCAAGCAATTCTCCTGCCTCAGCCTCCCGAGAAGCTGGGATTACAGGTGGCTGCCACCACACCCGACTAATATTTTGTCTTTTTAGTAGAGACGGGGTTTCACCATGTTCACCAGGCTAGTCTTGAACCCCTGACCTCAAGTGATCCACCCCCCTCAGCCTCCCAAACTGCTGGGATTACAGGGGTAAGCCACTGCGCCCGGCCCATCACTTTTTTTGAACCCATCAAAGATCAGGTCTCAGGTTAACCAATTATTCGGAAATCTTTAAGTCAGGCCCTTCCAAGGAGAGATGGGGAGTGAAAGCTGGCTCACCTATGGCAGAGCGCAGGAGGAAGTGATATCACATGCCATTTGGGTAAAAAGAATTCAGCGAGGTTTTTAACAAACTGCTAAAGGCAAAATGTGGGCTAGGATAAGAGTACAGACCCTCTAGGAGCCATACAAACAAGGAAGACTCATGCCTGCTCCCATACTCTTCTGCACAGACTTCCACCAGATATTCATGAGACTCAAGAACACAGGTCCTGCCCAACAGCAGAGAAACAGATACCTCTCGGTCCCCCATTGCCATCTCCCTTTCTGCAGGCTTGCAGGGACCAAGCAGTAACTGACAGCAATCTATTGCTAAGGGGGGGCCAAGACTGTAAAGAGAGATCCCCTCTGAGGTACAGGTGCACTAGCAAGGCCAAGACTGAGGGTAGAAGTGGAATATTTTAAAAAAATTTTTTTTAAATTTTAAAAAAAATGGCATTTCAGATCCCACCTAACCATAAGGTAACAAAACAGGAATCCCATGCCACTGAGGCACTGAAGACAACGATAGCAACAACAAAACTCACACTCAGCTCAACTTTTGAGTAGACTGATTTAACCCTCAAACCCAACACTAAAGGCCGAGCAACAGAAGAGGCATGCCCACTTTTAGGCTCTCAAAAAAGAAAA
The DNA here is from genome assembly GCF_000001405.40 of Homo sapiens. Taxonomy (NCBI): domain Eukaryota; kingdom Metazoa; phylum Chordata; class Mammalia; order Primates; family Hominidae; genus Homo; species Homo sapiens. Next base: position 111,875,184 of record NC_000012.12, on the reverse strand, counting down.
AGAAAAAAAAGAAAATCCTAATAAATCTACAAAAAATTTACTAGATTTAATAAATGAATTTAGGAAGGTCCCAAGACACAAAGTCAATATACAAAAATCACTAGTATGGGCCGGGTGCAGTGGCTCACGCCTGTAATCTCAGCACTTTGGGAGGCCAAGGTAGGCAGATCATGAGGTCAGGAGATTGAGACCATCCTGGCTAACAAGGTGAAACCCCGTCTCTACTAAAAATATGAAAAAAAATTAGCCGGGCGTGGTGGCGGGCGCCTGTAGTCCCAGCTACTCGGGAGGCTGAGGAAGGAGAATCGCTTGAACCTGGGAGGCGGAGATTGCAGTGAGCCGAGATTGCGCCACTGCACTCCAGCCTGGGCAACAGAGCAAGCCTCCATCTCAAAAAAAAAAAAAAAAAAAGTCACTAGTATGGCTGGGGGCAGTGGCTCACACCTGTAATCCCAACACTTTGGGAAGCCAAAGTGGGTGGATTACCTGAGGTCAGGAGTTCGAGACCAGCCTGGCCAACATGGTGAAACCCTGTCTCTACTAAAAATATAAAAATTAGCCAGGTGTGGTGGCGGGCGCCTGTCATCCCAGAGGCTGAGACAGGAGAATTGCTTGAACCCAGGAGGCAGAGGTTGCAGTGAGCTGAGATTGCGCCACTGCACTCCAGCCTGGGCAACAAAGAGTGCAATTCCATCTCAAAAAAAAAAAAAAAAACCCAAAACAAACAAACAAAAAACACTAGTATTTCTATAAACTAGTTAAAATTAGAAAATGAATTTTTTTTTTTTTGAGACGCAGTTTCACTCTAGTCACCCAGGCTGGAGTGCAATGGCATGATCTCGACTAACTGCAGCCTCCACCTCCCAGGTTCAAGAGATTCTCCTGCCTCAGCCTCCCAAGTAGCTGAGATTACAGGCACCGGCTACTACGCCCAGCAAATTTTTGTATTTTTAGTAAAGATGGGGTTTCACCATGGCAGCCAGGCTGGTCTCGAACTCCCGACCTCAGGTGATCCGCCTGCCTCAGCCTCCCAAAGTGCTGGTATAACAGGCGTGAACCACCACGCCCAGCTGAAATGTTTTACAATATCATTTCCAACAGCATCCAAAAACAAAATTTAAGGATAAATTTAAGAAAATATGTGCAAGACCTGTAACATTAAGAAGCATAAACATTTTTTAGGAAAATTAAAGACCTAAACAAATGGAGAGATATATACCTTGTTCATCGATTGGGAGACTTATATTGTTAAGATATCAGTTCTCTCCAAATTCACCTATAGATTAAATACCACCCCAGTCAAATCCCAGGAGGCTTTTCTGTTATACAGAAGTGAATTCTAAAATGTAGAGAAATGCAAAGGATCTAGAATAGCCAAAACAATTTTGAAAAAGAATGAATCTGAAGTCAAGATATAATATAAAGCTACAATAATGCAGATGCTCTTGCTATAGACACATACATATATTAAACAAACAGAATAGAATCCAGAAAAGACCAACAGATATATGGCCAGCTGGTTTTCAACAAAACTGCAATTCAGGCCAGGCGCAGTGGCTCATGCCTGTAATCCCAGCACTTTGGGAGGCCGAAGCAGGCGGATCACGAGGTCAAGAGATCAAGACCATCCTGGCCAACATGGTGAAACCCCGTCTCTACTAAAAATACAAAAAATTAGCCGGACATGGTGGCGGGCTCCTGTAATCCCAGCTACTTAGGAGGCTGAGGCAGGAGAATTCCTTGAACCCGGGAGGCAGAGGTTGCAGTGAGTCGAGATCGCGCCATTGCACCACTCCAGGCTGGGCAAAAAGAATGAAACTCCGTCTCAAAAACAAACAAACAAACAAACAAAAAACTGCAATTCAATGATGCAATCCTTTTACAAATCCTTTTACAAATGATGATTTGTAAAAAACATTTTACCAATGATGCTGCAACAACTTGACACCCTTAAGGGGGAAAAAAAGAACCTGGTCTCTCATTTCATACACACACAAACTCAGATGAATTACAGACCCAAATGTAAAAGCTAAAGCTATAACCTCTTATAAGAAAACATCAGAGAAAATATTTATGCTTGTGGATCTTAGGAACAAAAAGTACTAAGCATTAAAAAAAAAATGGTGAAACAGACTTCATTAAAATTCAAAACTTCTGCTATTCAAAGGCCATTAAGAAAATTAAAAGGCAAGTCACAGACTGAGATGAATATTCATGATATATATATGGAAGGCAGAATAATGGCCCCCCAAGATGTCCATGTTATAATCCCTGGGATTATTTTACCTTGTATTGCAGAACAATTAAGTTAAGAATCTTAAAATGGGGAGTTATCTAGGTAAGGCCAATGTGATCAGTAGGGTCCTTATAAGAGGCAGGCAAGAGGGTCAAAGTCATAGAGAGAGACACTCATTGGAAGATGCTATGCTACTGGCTCTGATGATGAAGGAAGAGGCTACAAGCCAAATAATGTAGGCAGCCTCTAGAAGCTGGAAAAGGCAAGAAATGCCTCCAGAAGGAACACAGCCCTGCTGACACCTTGATTATAGCACTGAGTACCATTTCAGACTTCTCATTTCCAGAAGTATAAGATAATACATTTCTGTTGTTTTTATCTACTAAGTTTGTGACAATATGTTACAGCAGCAGTAAGAATACAACATACATATGGCAAAGAACCTGTGTCCAGAATATTTTAAAATTCTTATACCTCAATTCTTTAACAAGAAACCAACAATAACAAAATGGCAAAAGATGAATGCCCATACTTACAACAGAATGGCCAATACACATGTACAAAAAGTGCTCCAAAATAGTGGCCATCAGGACAATGTCGTGATTAAAACTATAATGAAGTAATACTCTGCCCGCTACCAGAATGACTAAGATGACAAATGCTGACAAGCAACAAGCATGAGGCGTTAGTAAAAATGTGAAATGACTGGAACTCTATACGTTGCTGGTAGACGCATAAAATGGTATAGCCATTTTGGAAAAAAGATATGGGCATGGGGGAACATGTCCCCCAAAAACTGTAAAAGAAGTGTTCCTAGCAGCTTTCTTCATAATAGCCAAAAATGAGAAACAACCCAAAATCCTGTCAGTGAATGGAAAAAACAAATGCAGCTTAGGTATATAATGAAATACTACTTGGCAATGAAAAGGAATTAACGAGTGATAAATGCAGGAACATGGACAAATCTCAAAAACATGCTAAGCAAAAGAAATGAAGCATACAAAGTCCACGATTACATTTTTCTGAAATTCTTCAACAGGCAAAACTAACCAATAATGACAGAAAGCATGTCAGTGGTTGCCTAGGGCCAGGGGTTAAGTTGGGAGGGGACTGACTGCAAAGTGGCACAGGCAGCTTGTGAAGTGAGGGGCGTGTTCCACATCTTCAATGTGGTGGTCGCCATATGGGGTATATATTTGTCACAACTCATCAAACTCTCCTTGAAGTGGAGGTATTTTACTGTATGTAAATCATACTTCTAAATCATACCTCAATAAAGTTTATTTTATTTTATTTATTTTTTTTTGAGACGGAGTCTCGCTCTGTCGCCCAAGCTAGAGTGCAGTGGTGCCATCTCGGCTCCTTGCAACCTCCACTTCCCAGGTTCAAGCGATTCTCCTGCCTCAGCCTCCTGAGTAGCACGAATTACAGGTGTGCGCCACCACACTCGGCTAATTTTTTATATTTTTTTTAGTAGAGACAGGGTTTCACCGTGTTATCCAGGATGGTCTCCATCTCCTGAACTTGTAATCCACCCGCCTCAGCCTCCCAAAGTGCTGGGATTAAAGGCGTGAGCCACCGCACCTGGCTAAAGTTGATTTTAAAAGAATAAAAGATCTACACCAAATAAAGCAATCTGTAGGTTTCTAAAGCTAAGTTCTCCCCCTCCCATCTGTAATATATGCCTACTTGTGCTGTAGAATAGAAGGAACACGAGTTGATGGGCAGCTTGGTGACAGATCTTAGGACAGAAACCGCACATGCTTACCTGGGGTGCTACATAATAAGGGGTGAACTGGGGTGTCATCAAGTCACCTTGGTCAATCTTGGCAAATCCAAAGTCACACAACTTCACTGGGGCATCCTGAAATTAAAAAAAAAAGGAGTCACTGCTCCAGAGTGCTCAGTAAACATTAAAGGAAAATCCAGGTGTAAGACATGTTACCCTGAGATCTAACAAGTTTCTTTCCAGCTGAGATGCGAACTTATGAAAATAACATGTCCCCAGGTCTGGAGACAATGATTCACACTGAGGAACTGTCCTTAGTAATGCAGAAGTAAGGAATTCCTACCCACTCACACAGCTATTTTTGCTTTAGAACTTGTAAGGGCAGCACTAACGTCAAGGTCTTGGCCTAGGGACCCTTCACTCTATAAGCCCATCACCTCTCATCAATCTGGGATGCTACTTCACTTTTAATATCTGCCATAAGCTTCATGATAGACAGAGCAACTTATCTGGTGAGACATGGGGCAGGGGACAGAGCTGAAAGGGAAAACAGCAAATGAAACGAGATAATATATAACAGCATACAGATTCCTGCCCCTTCCCAAAGGTCCTCCAAATAATATCCAAAATCATTAAGTCCCACAAATACATATCAGTATCATCCAAAATTATCAATGCCGGGAGTACAGTAGTACAGCTTCTCTGAGCCTCTAGCAAGGGAACGAGTTGAAGAAATAAGCTGTTTGAAGCACTTTGGCTTAAAGCTTTTTCACCATGAATTCAGAGCGCTCCAAACACACCCACTCCTGAACTATGTTAAGAGTTGCAGCACTAAAATGCAGAAAAACAGTCTTCTCACCAAAGAGTTATCCTTAAAAAGCAGATTTTCAGGCTTGAGGTCTCTGTGCGCAATGTTTAACAAGTGACAGTGCCGCAGAGCCAAAGCTATCTGAAAAAAGACACAATGAAACAGTCGCTTCTTAGAAAAGACCACTCTTTAATACACCTGGCGTAGAGAACTCAGGATGTCAAAAAACAAGCCTTCATTAAGACTGCGTTCACTTTCAATTTTAAAGCAGAAATTAAGAAAAACTTGGAATACCAAGAAACAGAATGGATTAAGCTTAGTTTAACTGCAACTTGTATTTTGTCAGACAGAAAGAAAAATATGATGGTACAGCAATTCTTTGTCAGAATAAACTGATGGGTAAATCCTGTAAGAAATGGGAAAAATGAAATGCTCCCACTTTCATTCATCTGAGGTATGACAGACACTGCAGAAGAAACACCTAAGCTGAGCAATGGTCAGCAGGCGCAGTTCCCACAGCAGGGCTCAGACAAGAATGGCACTCTCCAGGGAGCTGAGGGTCAAGAAATCAGCTGACTGGGTTTTTCCAATTCATACTGGAAACTCATTTTGCTCATCATGCTTGTTGAAAATGTTGCCTGTTTATGTGGATTTGAAGGGGTTTTATTTTATAGAAGATTATCAGAGCTCATCCTTTAATCCTAATATTTGAAAAAATTAAAGGTATAATTTTAAAAATCAAACAGAAAGAACAGATTTTACTTGTTCTTTAACTCTCCATATGGCATTTTCTCAGCAATCCAAGTATCAGTTCCTCCCTACCAGAAAGGAGGCATCCAAAATTGCTTAAGGTTCATGGGAAACTTGGAAGAACTTTTTATTAAGAAGCAATTGGGCTGTGCTTCCTAATTCTCTTTGCTTTGCTTGCCTGGTATGAAGATAAGCCTTGAGGGTTTAGCTTTTCACCTCTGCAAGAAGTGATTATCAGCTGGATTCCTAGTATTGTTTGTGACATAAATCATTTCTACAGCAATAAAATGTGATGTCAACATAGAATATAACCAGGAATAATTCAGAATTACAAAGATCTTAGGATATTATTAAATCTGAAGAAATCACAGAAAGGTGGCTCACATGCAGGAAGCATCTTATGTACAATTCTCTTAAAATACATTTTTATACCATACAATCTTTCAGGTGGTATCAGCAGCATTTTATTGCAAAGTCCAATAACAGTACTTGGTAGCTACATGCCTAAAGATAACTGCAGTCTACAAAGCAGTTAAGATGCCTTCCTTCCAGAGTTTATTGAAATCTCACAGCAGCCTCAGGAAACAGTTGACAACCAATTAAGAACACAGTACCCCCACCCCCAAGTATAAAAGGGGTCACATTTCTCCTGTCAAAACATCTTTTCTGATTACATAACAAAGCAGGCAATGAGAAGTCAAATAGAGCTTTTCTTTAAGTTTTCTTTTCTTCCCCCCAATGAAATTGTGCTTGTTAACCAACTTTGGTGGCAGTTTGATTGGTACCTGGGGTTAACTTGCCTGCTTTGTTACTTGGCTGGCTTGCTTCTCTGTAAAGTGCCGGTGCTGGCTGATTCTGTGAAATAGCTCTCCCCCTTCCATCATCTCCATTACAATTAAGAGTCGGGCCCTGTTTGAAAGCATTTGATTTTGTTAAGTTAAAAAAAAAAAAAAGAAAAAGAAACAAAAAACCCTGAAACATTAAGAAGCTGACCTAAAGATACTGCATCTACAAAGTGTGTAACAACTTCCTAAGTCCAGGGTAACACAGTTACTAAGAGCAAAAATTCTCATGTTCTGAAAAAAAAAATTTTAATGTGATTTTTGGCTACCATTCTTTCATATATGCTTCCAGCTTCCATCCAAATGCTTTCACCAACAGAGCACAGTTGTGAAAAATAAGCGTTTTTTTCCCATTTGTTTGATTTCCCATTTGTTTTTAAAATTCTATCTTCTTTTTCCATCTGGAAAATTCCTACCCTTCCTTCAAGTCCTAGCTTCCACACAGCCTTTGTGAGACACCTCTCCTCCCAGACTATAGTTAGCAGCTCCTCTCCTTTGTAAGCTTAGAATATTTTAGGGATGCCTGTCCTTAGTGCCTATTGCACTGCTATGATGATGGGTTTACATCTCAGTCTTCCCCAAAAAAACCATACCTTATTTAATTTTGAATTTTAACAAAGAGACTTAGAATGCCACCCAATATGCTTGCCAAACATTTGGTAACTAAAAGAATAATGTTGATTTCTTTCTTTAAAAGGAAAGTTAGACTAAGCAATAATAAAGGCTTTTTGTTTTATCAGCCTCTAAGACTCTGCCTAGAATAATATTTGGGCCCCTTTCACTGATTTGAAATAGAATCTGTTTAAATTCTACATTAAATGCTTTCTTGAAATGAGAAAGTAATCAGAATCATCAGGGGATGTGAAGAGTGGTAGGGGCATAGATGAAATTAGACTGGCCACAAGAGGATTACTGTTGAGGATGGATCATGAGAACTTGAGGATTCATTACATAATTCTGTCTGCTTTTACAAATGCTTGACATTTTCCAAATTACAAAAAGGGAGATGGAGGGGGAGAAGGAAGGGCAGAGGAAGCGAGGGTAGGAGGAAGAAGGAGAGGGAAGGGGAGGGAGCACATAAAAGAGAGGACAGCTCCACTACACATTGGCCTACATGTGGGCATTTGATGATGACACTGTGTAGTCTTACCTAGGGCTGGACTCATGGGGAAACTGGACACTGTTAGCAAACACTTCAATAATCTGAACTATGTTTGGGTGTGTGGCACACATCATGTGCAGACGTACCTTAAAGAGAACAGAGGAAATGTATCAATAGGTAGGGGATACCAACATTTTCTCTCCAAAAACTGACCATACTAGGTACAAGCTAATTACAATAAAAACTTTATCACTTAGAATGATGTAAAAACCCAGTGTTTTCAAAGATTATCTCCTTAATGCTTTTTCCATGAATAAAAACTCACCAACAGATTTACTTCCTACTGTTCCATTTATTTGCAAATGAAAATCTGGCAAACAATTCATTTCATTTTAGAAATTATTTGCATTTCTTTATGCAAAAGAAGTCCTTCATTGCACATGTTATTAGAATGTCATTACCATATCCAGATAGTTTAAAACCAATGTATAACCAGGGGCAGTGGCTCACACCTGTAATCCCAACACTTTGGGAGGCCAAAGTGGATCACTTGAGCCCAGGAGTTTGAGACCAGCCTGGGCAACATGCAAAACCCCATGTCTACAAAAAATACAAACAAAATTAGCCAGGCATGGTGGCAAATGCCTGTGGTCCCAGCTACTCAGGAGGCTGAGGTAGAAGGATCACTTGAGCTTAAGGAGGTCAAGGCTGCAGTGAGCCATGATCGTGCCACTGCATTCCAGCCTGGGTGACAGAGCAAGACTCGGTTTCAAACAGAAACAAAAACAAACCCAATGTATATTTTTAAAAACTAAAGGCCGGGCACAGTGGCTCACGCCTGTAATCCCAGCACTTTGAGAGGCCGAGGCGGATGGATCACCTGAGGTCAGGAGTTCAAGGCCAACCTGATCAACATGGAGAAACCCTGTCTCTACTAAAAATACAAGATGCGTGGTGGCGCATGCCTGTAATCCCAGCTATTCGGGAGGCTGAGGCAGGAGAATCACTTGAACCCGGGAGGCGGAGGTTGCCGTAAGCCGAGATTGCGCCATCGCACTCCAGCCTGGGCAACAAGAGTGAAACTCTGTCTCAAAAAGAAGAAACAAACTAGAAACATCCTCAGAGTCCTCCTGTAGCATCACTTTTATACACCATTCACCTGACTCTTCCTTGTGCTATTTTATCTCCACCTTTAAGTACCTTCTTCAATAAGCAAAACTGAGGTAAATCTGAATACATGAGGGTACAAGAATCACATTAATTTTAAAAGAACAAGAGGTGGCTGAAAGGAAATGACTCAATGGCCTTTGATATTGACAGATCTAGGACTACTTTACTAAGATAGCATGAATGGGGAAGAGAGGTAAAGTTTGGACATAAAACTTTTTATGCATCACTGTATTCTCTCTAGGAAGCTGCCTTACTTGCAAAAGAACAATTCTTAGGCACTTCAACTATTTAATTAAGTCGAGGCAATAAAGCATACCTCATTTCTAGCTTTTGGACGATCAAGAAGAATTTTCAGCGCAAACCGTTCTTGAGTAGATTTCTTTACACAGACTCTAGATTTGGAGAAAAAAAATCAATCAGAGATCATATATGTTAGAATGAAAATTAATTTAACAAGCTTTTTCTTTGAGATTTGTACTTCTCATCAAGGATATGGCCAGGTGCATCCAGAACAAACTTGCCCCCAAGGGTAGCAGGTGGGGGAAAGAAGCATCTCACCCCTCTGCCCAGCAGCCAATGCTCAGGCCTCAGCTTCTAAGCCATGCTTTTGGGGCTGTGGGTCAATGAAAAAATAATGGCCTCAGCTGGCTATAGGTGACTCTCACAGTGGCCCCACAGTCTCGACACCCTTTTTTTTTTTTTTTTTTTTTTTTGAGACAGAATCTCGCTCTGTGGCCAGGCTGGAGTGCAGTGGCATGATCTCAGCTCACTGCAATCTCTGCCTCCCTGGTTCAAGTGATTCTCCTGCCTCAGCCTCCCGAGTAGCTGGGATTACAGGCACCCACCACCACACCTGGCTAATTTTTGTATCTTTAGGAGAGACGGGGTTTCACCATGTTGGCCAGGATGGTCTCCATCTCCTGACCTCATGATCCGCCTGCCTCAGCCTCCCAAAGTTCTGGGATAACAGGCATGAGCCACCGCGCCTGGCCAGTCTCGACATCTTAAATGACTCTATAAAAAGACCATGCGACTCAGTCACTCTTAACTAATTCCTAAATACATGAGAAAAAGCCTAACATAAAAACCTGTACTTGTTAAATTCAGCCTATTCCTCAAATCTGGCACACCTGATGTGTCTAATTCAAGATGTATTTCAAATGGCCCTTCTCAGAGTTTGCACATGCCAACAATTTGCCATAGTTTCTCATATGGATCTCTTACCTAACTGGACCACTAATTCCAGCTCCCAGCTTCTGAGTCCAATTGATACTGTATTCTTCTAAAATGGAAGTTTCCTATTAATATAAAAAAAGGGAGAGGACAGAGAATGATTCCTCAGTTAACAAACTGAATAAGCAGAGATGGGACAACAGAAGACCTGTCACTCAACAGCTCATCTTCTAAGAGAATCTGATAAGCAGAACTTTGTGTTCTACAGGGCTTTATGACATTTTGTCTAAATGACAATGACTCAGACATTGTTTCCCAATTTTCCAACAAGAAAGCAAAGACTTCACGATAAAAGGAAATTATTCAGCTCATCTATAAGGTACATTTCCATAGACAATCAATGCTTTTGGGGGGTTCTGAGAGGAAGATACTCTTTCAAAATGCATCAATTACTAAATGCCTCTTTGCTACAATGGTCAAGTATATTTTATGAGATTCTAGAAAGACTAGTCAGATATATGCTGCCAAGCTGTAGAGGCCTATATCCCTGAACAAGTTGATTACATTATTGGAATAACTGAATAAACTGAGACTTAAAAGTTCAAAAAAAATAGTAACTAATCAATATCATAGTAAACATCTAATTTCCAACACCACCATTTTGTGTACAGATATATTCTGTCAATTTCATTATGTAAGTATATTTCTGATATAAATAACTTTCAACAGTTTAGGATAGAGCCTCTACAGTTTAATGAAAGTTGTAATGGAATTCTTGGCTAACTATTGCATGTTAGCCTCTGTTGCCATATGCTTTTAGATAAAAAAGAATTTAATTAATTAATTCATTCACTCACTTATTTATTATAAGAGACAGGGTCTCGGCCGGGCTCACACCTGTAATCCCAGCACTTTAGGAGGCCAAGGCAGGCAGATCATGAGGTCAAGGTATCAAGACCATCCTGGCCAACATGGTGAAACCCCGTGTCTACTAAAAACTACGAAAATTAGCTGGGCGTGGTGGCGCGTGCCTATAGTCCCAGCTACTCGGGAGGCTGAGGCAGGAGAATTGCTTGAACCCAGGAGGTGGAGACTGCAGTGAGCCGAGAAGACCGAGGGTCACCCAGGCTGGAGTGCAGTGGTGTGATCATTTCTCACTGCAGCCTTGAACTCTTGGGCTCAAATGATCCTACCACCTCAGCCTCCCAAGTAACTAGGAAAACAGGCACACACCACAGCATCTGGCTAATTTTTTTCTTTTTTCTTTTTTTAGAGACAGGGTCTTGCTATGTTGCCCAGGTTGGTTTCAAACTCCTGACTTCAAGCAATCCTCCTGCCTCAGCCTCCCAAATAGCTGGGGTTACAGGCAAGAAAGTCACATATTTAAATTGTGATAGTCTAAAATTCATTTTTGCAGGCTTCCACAGGTAAAATAGGAAACCAACTGCAGACCTTAAGAAATCAAAATCCTGCCGGGCACAGTGGCTCATGCCTGTAATCCCAGCACTTTGGGAGGCCGAGGTGGGAGGATCACCTGAGGTGGGAGTTCAAGACCAGCCTGACCAACATGGAGAATCCCCATCTCTACTAAAAATACAAAATTAGCCAGGCATGGTGGCGCATGCCTGTAATCCCAGCTACTCAGGAAGCTGAGGCAGAAGAGTGGCTTGAACCCAGGAGGCAGAAGTTGCTGTGGGCCAAGATCACGCCATTGCACTCCAGCATGGGCGACAAGAGCAAAACTCCATCTCAAAAAAAAAAAAAAAAATCAAAATCCATAAGACTTTCACGTTGTTTTGTTGCAATGAAAATCTGATAGACTATGTAGCACAAGAATCCCGCTCGCTAGTATACAGGAATAGGATATTTGCTTACGTAATACACACTCACTGAGCAGCTAGTATACCAGGCTAAGTTCAGGTATGAAAACAAGGCCTCTATCCAGTGAATGTGCCAGGCTTGGAAAGTCTTCATCTCCACCCCTTTCTGTGTCCAATTCTTGGTAAAGGTTCTCAGCATACAGTAAATAACTATGGAATGAATGACTAGAAAGGAATTAATCCCTAGAAAGGCAGACTAAAGCCTTGTGATGAAGGGATATTGAGTTAGGAGGACCCAAAAGATCGCTATACAAACTCCCTTCTGAAAAACTGTGCGTCAGGATTATGGAGCTTGTCAAGGTCACACAGTGAGTTATGGGCACTATCTAGGCTATAATCTATGGCTCTGGCGTCCTCTACCATCCCCTACCCTAAGCACCTTTCCATCTATTAAGGGTAACTGCCCAGGCCCCAGCATAAAGATTAGGAACAAGTACTGCCCAATCAGAGAGGTCCTAGGCTCCATCTTCACTCACCACCTCCTCAACAGAACTCAAACCTACCCACTTAACCTGCCTACTTCCTTCACTTATCTGCTACATGACCTGTTTGACTTAGGAGTATCTGACGAGACCCAGGGGAATAGAGTAGTGGGAAGGAGGGAGTTGAAGCAGAATTTAAGCATCGTGGTAAAAACTGTTCCACTCAACTAATGGAATCATACACTCACAGTAGACTCTATGGAAAATAAGATTTGTTCTACTGAACTATTCATTATAATCAGAGTTCATATGCCCAACCCCTCGGATGTAAAAATAAGTTGTCTGACCAAATTCTCCATTGTACTTATTTTTTTATTTTTTGAGACAGAGTATTGCTCTGTCGCCCAGGCTGGAGCACAATGGCGTGATCTGGCCTCACTGCCTCCCGAGTTCAAGCGATTCTCCTGCCTCAGCCTACCAAGTAGCTGGGATTACAGTTGCGCACCACCACACCCAACTAATTTTTGTATTTTTAGTAGAGATGGGGTTTCACTGTGTTGGCCAGGCTGGTCTTGAACTCCTGACCTCAGGTGATCCGCCCACCTTGGCCTCCCAAAGTGCTGGGATTACAAGCATGAGCCACTGCACCCGGCCCTCCACTGTACTTACTAAGTTAGTACTCTACCTGATGGACAGCCAAGAAAGTTCAACTTGTAGAGACTCTGATTGGAGTTTTGACACTGAACTTTGCAGAAGGTAGGAGAACCACTACCAGGCTCTCCTACAGCTGAATTTCTGGACCCCATTTTTTATACCTCCTGTCCTTTTTCCCAGGCTTAATTCTTCCATCTTTGTTGATGGTGCCATAAACACTAGCCAGCTAAGGCTTCACTGAGCCCAACTGGGCCAAAAAAGTTAACACACACCTTTCAACTAGATTGCCCACGGCTGGCACATTTTCTCACATATTTTAATGACAAAGGAGAAGGTAGGAAGGCATGGTCAATTAAAACACTTCTACTGAAGGAAATTATGGACTAATTCTTCAAAGACATCAATGACAAATGCAAAGGCTGGGTTGTGCTAAGAAATATACACACTACCTTAAATTAACAAGGATACAAACACTTGGAATAAAATCATTTTTGAGAATTCTCCAAGACAAGGGGTCAGCAAATTCAGCCATTGCCTGTTTTTGCAAATAAAGTGTATTGGAATATAGCCATATCTACTCGCTTTCATACTGTCTTTGGCTGCTTTCACACTACAACAACAGAGTTGAGGGGTTGGAACAGAGACCACAGGGACCGCAAAACCTAAAATATTTCCTATATCACCCTTTACAGAGAAAGCTTGCTTTTCTAAACACTGTTCTAAACTGCTGGATCTCAACAATAACTGCACATCACAATCGCCTGAGAAGATTTTTTTAAAGCTACCTGATGCAGGCCGGGCATGGTGGCTCATGCCCATAATCCCAGCACTTTGGGAGGCTGAAGCAGGCAGATCATGAGGTCAGGAGTTCGAGACCAGCCTGACCAACATGGTGAAACCCCATCTCTACTAAAAATAAAAAAATTAGCCGGGTGTGGTGGCGGCGCCTGTAATCCCAGCTACTTGGGAGGTTGAGGCAGGAGAATCGCTTGAGCCTGGGAGGCGGAGGTTGCAGTGAGCCGAGATCACGCCACTGCACTCCAGCCTGTGACAGAGTGAGACTCCATCTCAAAAAACAAACAAAACAACAACAACAAAAAAAACAAAAAAACTACCTGACACAAAGGGGATTCTAATACTACTTGTTTGAGAAGTGGCCTGGGCATTAGTCCTCTATTCTTACCTTTATCTCTAGTAAGGCAGACCCTAGTCATTCTCTGAAGCTCAAAAACTAAGAAAAAATGGAAATTATTTTTTTTTTTAGACGGAGTCTCGCTCTTGTTGCCCAGGCTGGTGTGCAGTGGCGCGATCTCGGCTCACGCCAACCTCCACCTCCTGGGTTCAAGCTTTTCCTGCCTCAGCCTCCTGAGTAGCTGGTATTACAGGTGCCCACCACTGCACCCAGCTAATTTTTGTACTTTTAGTGGAGACAGGGTTTCACCGTGTTGGCCAGGCTGGTCTCGAACTCCTGACCTCAAGTGATCTGCCTGCCTCGGCCTCACTTGCCTACCACTTCATGCTGTGAATACAAGAATTTCCATGCCTGTGCTGGGATTACAGGCATAGAAATTCTTGTATTCACAGCATGAAGTGGTAGGCAATTCCTCGCCACAATGGAAAAGTTAAAAATTAAAATTGTCAGAAAGAACTATTTCAATACAGTGTAAATCAAACAAACTGAGAAGTACAGATTCTTGAAAATCTGCTAGAGGTTCAGGTAAAAATAGTAAGCTTTCTAGCCTAGGATCCTGCCATCCTTCTACTCCTCTATCCCCACTGCTTACAGCATAGTCAGCTGGTGACAATGCTAGTTTTCCCAACATGGGGCCAGCTATGAAAATCAGCAGTTCTGCTGCTCTAGGGGGTGGACTCAATTTGGGGTGAGGAAGAAAATTCATGGATCTACCAGCTAAAAGTGGTGAATGTGGATGGAAATGAACAGCTTTGGCAGTTGTCTTTGTTAGATGGGCAGAACATCCAGAGATTTAATGGGAAAATCCTGAAACAGAGCCATAGAAAGTCTGAGTTAAGCTCTTCACATGACCATCACTGACTGGGAAATTATACCTAAGAGAACCAGGAAAAACTGAAAACCAAAGGAGACTTTAGAGCCAGCAGCAATTTTTTAGAGTTTCTCCAAACCCACATACACATTGATCAGGGGGGTATAGCTCAGCAGTAGAGCATTTGACTGTAAGTTGATCAGGATAGGGTAAAAGCCTCAGGGGCTGAAAGTATTTGAGAACCTCTGCCCAAATCACTGGCTGACAACTAAGTTAAACAGATACAGGGACAACCCACCAAAAGCCAGGCTGGGAAGAAAAAATGAAAATATTTTATTTTCTTTTGAGACGGAGTTTCACTCTTGTTGCCCAGGCTGGAGTGCGATGGCGCAATCTCGGCTCACTACAACTTCCACCTCCCAGGTTTAAGCAATTCTCCTGCCTCAGCCTCCCAAGTAGCTGGGATTCGCTGGGCACGGTGGCTCACGCCTGTAATCCCAGCACTTTGGGAGGCTGAGGCGGGTGGATCACCTGAGGTCAGGAGTTCGAGACCAGCCTGACCAACATGATGAAACCCCGTCTCTACTAAAATTACAAAATTAGCCGGGCATGGTGGTGGGCACCTGTAATCTCAGCTACTCAGGAGGCTAACCCAGGAGAATCGCTTGAACCAGGGAGGCAGAGGCTGCAGTGAGCTGAGATCATGCCATTGCACTCTAGCCTGGGCAACAAGAGCGAAACTCAGTCTCAAAAAAAAAAAAAAGAAAAGCAAAGAAAAGAAAAGAAAAAAAGAAGTGCTGGGATAACAGGCGTAGGACACTGAGCCCAGCTGAAAATAAAAATTTTAAAATTGACCGGGCACAGTGGCTCACGCCTATAATCCCAGCACTTGGGAGGCCAAGGCAGGAGGATCACGAGGTCAAGAGTTTGAGACCAGCTTGAAACCCCATCTCTACTGAGAATACAAAAATTAGCTGGGCGTGGTGGCGGGTGCCTGTAATCCCAGCTACTCGGGAGGCTGAGGCAGGAGAATCGCTTGAACCTGGGAAGCGGAGGTTGCAATGAGCTGAGATCATGCCACTGCACTCCAGCCTGGTGACAGAGTGAGACTCCGTCTCGAAAAAACTAATAATAATTTAAAACTAAGCAGAGACATTAGCACACCAAAGGAAAAATAGATTCTGGTTTAATTCTAAGCAATTAACTGTAAATATAACAAGCCACAGGGGGGAAAACTCAGAATCCAGAGTTGCTATATTATCTAAATGTCCAGTTTTCAACCAAAATTACTAGACTTGTAAAAACCAGGAAAGTGTCACCTAAGCTCAGGAAAAAGAGAAATCAATAGCATCCATCTCTGATTGGATGCAGATACTAGATTGAGCAAGTAGTTGCACTTAAAAGCAACTATTTTAAACGTCCAAAGAATTAAAGAAAACTGATGACGAAGTAAAAAATAATGATAAATAGAGATTTTCAGCCGAGAAACAGAAAAAATGAAGAGGAACCACATGGAAATTCTAGAGTTAAAAATTATAATGACTGGCATGAAAAACTGATCAGAGGTGCTCAACAGGCTGAGCACGGTGGCTCACGCCTGTAATCCCAGCACTTTAGGAGGCCAAGGCGGGCGGATCATGAGGTCAGGAGCTCGAGACCAGCCCGGCCAACACAGTGAAACCCCGTCTCTACTAAAAATACAAAAATTAGCCAGGCACAGTGGCAGGTGCTGTAATCCCAGCTACTCAGGAGGCTGGGGCAGGAGAATTGCTTGAACCCAGGAGGCGGAGGTTGCAGTGAGCTGCGATCGCACCACTGCACTCCAGCCTGGGTGACAGAGCAAGACTCCGTTTTGGAAAAAAAAAAAAAAAAAAAGAGGTGCTCAACAGATTTTCAGGTGACAGAATAATTAGTGAACATGAAAATACATAGAAAGAAATGATCAAATCCAAAGAATAGACAGAAAAAAGATTAAAGAAAAATGAGACCTGTAGAATAATGTCAAGCGTTCCAACATATGTGTAATGGGAGAGCCAAAGAGGGGTGAAGATGGGGGAGGTGGGAATATTTGAAGAAATAATAGGCAAAACCTTCCCCAACTTGATGAACAGTAATAACCTATGGCCTCCAAGAAGCTCAACAAACTCTAAATAAGATAAACACAAAAAGAACCACACCTAGACATACCACAGTCAAAACACTGAAAGACAAGACCAGGTGCAGTTGCTCACGCCTGTAATCCCAGCACTTTGGGAGGCTGCAGGGTGAGGATCACTTGAAGTCAGGAGTTCAAGACCAGCCTGGGCAACATGGCAAAACTCCGTCTCTACAAAAAATACAAAATTTAGCCTGGTGTAGTGGTGCATGCCTGTGCCTGTGGTCCCAGCTACTGGGTAGGCTGAGGTAGGAGGGTTGCTTGAGCCCAGGAGATTGAGGTTGCAGTAAGCTGAGATCATGCCACTGCACTCCAGCCTAGGCAACAGAGCAAGACCCTGTCTCACACACACACACAAACACACACACACAAAAAAAAACACTGAAAGAGAAAGAGAAAATAATGTAAGTACGAAGGGAAAAAATGACAAATCATGGACAGCAATATAAATAATGGCTGACTTTTCATCAGAAACAATGCAAGCCAGAAGACAGTAGAATCACATAATGAAAGTACTGAAAAAACAACTGTCAAGCATAAATTCTATATTGAACAAAACTATCCCTCAAAAATTAACAGTGAAATAAAGGCATTATCAAATAAATAAACACTGAAAGAATTCACTGCTAGTAGACTTGGCCTACAAGAACTACCAAAGGAAGTCCTTTGGAGAGAATGGCAATGCTACTGTATGAGAACTTGGATCAGGCCGGGCACGGTGGCTCACGTCTGTAATCCTAGCACTTTGGTAGGCCAAGATGGGAGGGATCACCTGAGGTCAGGAGTTCAAGACCAGCCTGGCCAACATGGCGAAACCTCGTCTCTACTAAAAATACAAAATAAAACCCCAAAATAGCCAGGCATGGTGGCACACACCTGTATTCCCAGCTACTACGGAGGGTGAGGAAGGAGAATTGCTTGAACCCGGGAGGTGGAGGTTGCAGTGAGCCGAGATCATACCACTGCACTCTAGCCTAAGCAACGGGAGCGAGGCTCCATCTCAAAAAAAAAAAAAAGAAAAAAGAAAACTTGGATCCACAAGAAGGAACAGAAAGTACTAGAACAGGTAAACATGGAAAAAATTATTTTCTTCTCTTAATTTCATAAATATACATAAGATAGGTTATAACATATAAAGATATACATGACAATAAGAACACAAGGGAGAAAGGAGGAAATAGAGCTACCTTGGAGCAAAGGTGCTGTATATTACCAGACTTTAGTCAATTTTAACCCAAAGTGGACTGTGATAAATTAAAGATGCATATTATAATCCTCATAAAAGCATTTCAAAAATACATATCCAGAAAATCAACAGAGAATTTACATCAGATAGTAACTTGGATCAAGAGGGAAAAAATGAAGAATAACAAAAATGGTAAATATACTGTAGGTTAACATAAAAGGCTGTAAATATATTTTATTCCTTTCTCTCTTATTTAAAACACATAAGATTTAACTGCATAAACAAATAACTACAACACTGTATTTTCTGGTTTGTAATATATACATATATAATACATAGACAACAGTAACACAAAAGAAGAGGGAGAAGGCTGAGCACAGTGGCTCACACCTGTAACCCTGGCATTTTGGGAGGCCAAGGCAGGTGGATCACCTGAGGTCAGGAGTTTGAGACCAGCCTGGCCAAAATGGTGAAACCCCATCTCTACTAAAAATACAAAAATTAGACAGGCATGGTGGTGCACACTTGTAATTCCAGCTACTCAGGACGCTGGGATGGGAGAATCACTTGAACCCAGGAGGTGGAGGTTGCAGTGAGCCGAGATCATGCTACTGCACACCAGCCTGGGTAGACAGAGTGAGACTCCGTCTCAAAAAAAAAAAAAAGAAAGAAAAAAAAAGAAGAGGGAGACAATGGAGCTAAACTGGAGCATTTTCTATATTTTACTGAAACTATTAGTATTAATTTAAAGTTAGTCTTAATCTGAAATGGCTTATGATAGGCCATATTCTAGATCATAAAAAAAACTAAATGAATTGAAAATAAATTATATGAAGTTCTCCAACCACCATGGAATTAAGCCAGAAATGAACAGAAGGGAAAGTTGGGAAATCCATACATATTCAGAAATTAAACAACACGACTGGACACAGTGGCTCACGCCTGTAATCCCAGCACTTTGGGAGGCCAAGGTGGGCAGATCGCCTGAGGTCAGGAGTTCGAGACCAGCCTGATCAACATGGAGAAACCCAGTCTCTACTAAAAGTACAAAATTAGCCAGGCATGGTGGTGTATGCCTGTAATCCCAGCTACTCGGGAGGCTGAGGCAGGATAATCGCTTGAACCTGGGAGGCAGAGGTTGCGGTGAACCAAGATCACGCCATTGCACTCCAGCCTGGGCAACAAGAGCGAAACTCCATCTCAAGAAAAAAAAAAAAAAAAGAAATTAAACAACGCATTTTTTTTTCTTGAGATGGAGTCTCACTTTGTCACCAGGCTGGAGTACAGTGGCGCAATCTTGGCTCACTGCAATCTCTGCCTCCCAGGTTCAAGCGATTCTTCTGCCTCAGCTTCCCAAGTAGCTGGGACTACAGGTGCACACCACCATGCCCAGCTAATTTTTGTAATTTTAGTAGAGATGGGGGTTCACCATATTGGCCAGGCTGGTCTCGAACTCCTGACCTCGTGATCCGCCTGCCTTGGCCTCCCAAAGTGCGAGGATTACAGGCGTGAGCCACTGCACCTGGCCTAAACAACACACTTATAAATAACCAGGAGGTCAAAGAAGATTTAACATGAGATATTAGAAAATATTTTATCTCAATGAAAATGCAAACACAATTTGCCAAAAATAATGAGATGAAGTTGAAGTGGTGCTGAAACAGAAATTTATAGCTGTAAATGCCTACCTTAGAAAAGATCACAATCACTAACCTAACCTTCTACCTTTAAAATGTAGAAAAAGAGCAGACTATACTCAAAGCAAGCAGAAAGAAGAAAATAATAAAGATTTGAGCAGAGAGCTATAAAACAGAATACAGAAAAATAGAGAAAATCAATGAAAACCAAAAGTTGATTATTTGAAAAGATCAACAAAGTTAACAAACCTTTAGCTGAATTGACCAATACAAAAAGGGCAGGACACAAATTATTAATATTAGAAAGGAAAGAGGGAACATCACAATTGACTTTACAGAAATCAAAGTATTAAAAGGGAAAACCATGAACGACTTTATGCCAACAAATTAAAGCACTAGATAAAATGGACAAATTTCTAGAAAGAAATTACCAAAACTCACTCAAGAAGAAAAAGAAAACCTGAATAGACCTGTAACAAGTAAAAAAAACTGAATTAATAACTGAGTATCTTCCCATGAAACAAAGTCTAGGCACATTGGTTTCAGTGGTAAATACTACACATTTGTTGGGTTTCTCAACCTCAG
Organism: Homo sapiens; assembly: GCF_000001405.40. Lineage (NCBI taxonomy): Eukaryota > Metazoa > Chordata > Mammalia > Primates > Hominidae > Homo > Homo sapiens. The sequence continues at coordinate 111,854,852 of NC_000012.12, read as the reverse complement.
CACCACTGACATTTTGAGCCAGATAGTTCTCTGTTGTGGGGTTGCCTTGGCCTTTTAGGATGTTCAGCAGCATTCCTGCCGTCTACCCACTAGGTGCCAGAAGCACCCGCTACCAACTGTGATAACCAAAAATGTCTCCAGATGTTACCAAATGTCTCCCAAGAGGTAAAATCCCTGCCCATTCCACTGAGAACCACATATTTAACGAAATAATGTATTCCAAACTTTGGCCTCCCAAAGTACTGGGATTACAGATGTGAGCCACCACACCTGGCTGTAAAATACCCTTTTATTTCATATTGAAAATCATTACTGGCCGAGCACGGTGGCTCATGCCTGTAATCCCAGCACTTTGGGAGGCCGAGGCAGGTGGATCACGAGGTCAAGAGATCAAGACCATCTGGCCAACATGGTGAAACCCCATCTCCACTAAAAATACAAAAATTAGCTGGGCGTGGTGGCGCACGCCTCAAGTCCCAGCTACTTGGGAGGCTGAGACAAAATAATCAGTTGAACCAGGGAGGCGGAGGTTGCAGTGAGCTGAGATCATGCCACTGCACTCCACTCCAGCCTGGCAACAGAATGAGACTCCATCTCAAAAAAAAAAAAGAAAAAGAAAAAGAAAAAGAAAAGAAAATCTTTACTATGTTCATAGTAATGATCCCATAGAGGAGGGTATACTTTCTAACTTGTTCTATAAAGCTAGCATTACATTCATACCAAAACTCGAAAAAGGCATCACAAGAAAGTATCTATCATGAATATAGATTAAACAATCCTCAACA